>NC_000003.12:85767575-86070606 GCF_000001405.40 Homo sapiens | reverse complement strand
ATTTGCAAAGGGAAATAATATTGGGCAATTTTAGAGACTCTAAGTAATTAGCAATACCATGGGAAAGTTGTGGTAAGACATGAGGTTTTGCATTTTCTCCACAATTAAAAAGCATAATGTAAAATTTAATATTTGTTGTCCACTAAATTACCTTGATGTCCAAAGAAAAACAAAAGGCATTTGAAATGTTCCCCTTGGTAACACTTTGCAATAAGTGGCACTAAATTACACGATAACTGCTATGTTACATGGAAGAGCCATCACTGTCAAACAGCTGCTATACATGTGCCTATATGAAATCTCAATGCTGTTACAATCATGAGTACATAATTACAAATGAGCCTGTACTTTTGATTGAGATATTTATATTTTTACAAAGAAATAAAAATAAATGAGGTGTTAGTTTCTTTGCCATATTTAGGAAAGTTAGTTTTCTTTCTCTATTTGTTATTTTAATTGTGGAGTTTCAATGAAAGATTAAGCATCATGAATCAATATGAGATCATCCAGTTTCTAGATTAAACTCCAATATCAGGTTCCTTAAACTGCTTCTTGGATTCTCTGGTAAAAGAAAACAAGTTGAAATTTCTCTCTCTTTTCGATTTCTCTTTCTCTCTTATACACACACATATACACACACACAAACACGCACACCATCAGTACTCTGCTCATGCGCTCTGTCTTTAATCTTGCACTCACAAACATTTCTTTTTCCTCCTACTTTTGATAATAATCCTATCTAGAACACCCAAAAATGGAAAATAAAAAAGAAAAGAAAAGTAAAATGCCGCTTAGACTTGATTTTGACGGAGGACAATCAATTTACACTGTAAACAGTACACTGGCAGAGAATAGCTACTTTTGGTAAAGAATAATGCTCCATATTCTACTAAGGGTGTGTGTGTGTGCACACTGCTTCCATTGAGTTCCCTACCTACTGTGCTCACTTAGAAGAGACAGAAATTGACTCTATGTGCACACAAGTGTGCATGTTCCAGACAATGAAATTGACATCATTCTCATTTAGAAATATTATGTCATTATTTTCTGACTTGTTGGAATAGAAATGAGCATAATTTTTACAATTTATTTTTTGTTTGGTTGAAAATTAAATAATTTTTAAAGGTATGAAAATATGACTTCATTGATATTGTTTTCTCCAGTTCAGAACATGGTGTCTCATTTAAATCAAACTATATTTAATAGGCAAACATTTAATTAGATCCCACAAATTATAATATACCAGCATTTATAACTAGTATAATAATCTAGTTGTTTTAGCTAACTGGTTTTATAAGAGTTCTAATGAGATTTTATATTACTCTGAAGGGTTAAAAGAGTCAAAAATCATGAAATGCAACCAATTTTGGATTTCTAATTTTACAGTGCTATAAATAATGATTGAGTTATTTAGGCAACAATTTAGTTGTTGGAGCCAAGTAGAATATAGATGAAATGAAGAGGGATGTAAATACGGCATCGATGAAGAGTAGCAATTTTGTAAGTGCATCCTGAAATTAGGCTTTACATAGTAATTGATGATGCAGTTTGTACAACTTACTTCTGTAATAAGAACCTTTCCATTTTGTACTAACAGGATGAATTTTGCTTTGTGGAGTCTTTCTAAAGATTATGCATTGAAAGATATGAACAGTTTATAAACCTATTCTAGTTTCAATGTGTCTAGTAGCACCTACCTGATTCTCTCAAACTACCATACTATATTAACATATTATTGCATTTTTCCACAGATGGTATGGAGTGAACTGTAAAAACAAGCATGCAATCACATCAATGCAGACTTATTTCCTTAAAATGTCATACTGTATATGATTTATTATGTTAACACTCAACCACATCATATTATTTATGTTCTGTATATTCTGAAAAAGTGCTGCTTGACTGACATCGTCCTTTTTCTTTTGTAAGAAATCAACAAGATAAATGCTTCAACAATCAAAAAAAAACTTTAAAATTCTAACATTTTCCTTAAAAGATTTATACTTTTTTGATAAATAATCAAAGATACAGCACCCTTGTCTTTCATTTGATATTAATACATGATGTTGCACTCAACCATTCTTATTACCCAAAAATATATTCCACAATACTATTTTTAAAACCATAGGCCATCATGCGTCAGACATCACAAGTATAGCTACCATACTGTCATATTTGTTTTCTTCTTAAAGGTGCAATGCTTGTAAATGGGATTTTTTTAAATCTAACTGGAGTTTTATTCTTTAGCATATAATAAATTTAATGAGAACTAATCTAACAATATTTTATTTTACTAGAAGAAATAATAAGACTTTAGATTAACTGTTTCATATTTAAGAATACAGCATTTCTTAATGGTTAAACACGCCAAAATTTTAAAATAATCCAGAGAAAGAGACTTTCACTTTGGAGTTAAAAGCATGGCAGAAATTCTCTATCACTCACTGTTTCATCAGTTTGTACCTCACAAAATGCATAGACAGGAATTTAATATAAAGAATTAGTTCATTTATACAGAAAACATATCTTAAACACTTCTTTTTGGCAAACCAACATAGGTAAGCAGCTC
This sequence comes from Homo sapiens, assembly GCF_000001405.40. Lineage (NCBI taxonomy): Eukaryota > Metazoa > Chordata > Mammalia > Primates > Hominidae > Homo > Homo sapiens. The sequence continues at coordinate 86,068,037 of NC_000003.12, read as the reverse complement.
TGGAACTGCAAAATGAAAATTTGTAAATTTTTAGCAAACTAAAATTTATTTTTAGGTTATTATTCAACTGTGGTTGTAATTTAAAACCTGAGGCTGTGCACTGGTTGTTAGCTTAAAATTACCTTTCCTTATAACATTGTGCTTCCATTGTATAACAAATAAAAATTAACAAGAACTAGAAAAATTTGTTGTTGAACAGTGCTAGGACATACAGACAAAAATACTAATACATGTTATCTACTTATAATATTGGTTTAAGTAATACCTAAAGGGATATAATGGACGTTAGAAAATGCTTACTTATGACTGAATTACATACAGCCAAAAAAGTTAAATATGTATCAAATAATGTTTAATTGGATTTATTATATGCACTATATACAGATACTAAAATGTCTGAAAATTGTGCCCTATGGATACTTCAATATTGTTTAGGCAGGTGAATCTTTATGAAGCAAATAAATTATAGAATCAAATTAGAGAAATGAATTAAATATTTGTGATTCCAAAAGCAGTAAATCATTTGGAATAATTTATTGGTAAATGAAGCTACAATATCCTAATAGTAAGATCTCTATAATTATAGAAAATACCATGTCATGATTGCAATTCGTACACATGGCTCCTGTATCAAATACTATATTTCAATAGCAAATCGATACAGCTTTACCAGTATAATCTCCAACATTCCAAAAACTACACTATAGTGTTTTTTTTTAATTTTATGTTTTCTAGGACATATGTTTCCAAAGCATGTTGTCTTTGAAGACAGACATGTAGAAAACATTAATTGTAAACCTCTAACCTTCACTTATTCTTAAATACATTATGTCCTTCCCTAATCCTGTTACTTGTGAAAGCTGTCCAATGGCAAACTGATAAGGTCTATGACTTAAAGGGGAAAAAATGGGGGAAAAAAACTCTGCATACATTTTTTAATGTATAAAAACCACTCAATATAATGATCCAAGGAGATGATTAACATTGTTAAGGCTGTATATTCAAGCACTGTATGTTAAAAGAGCAATGGTGTGAAATTTAGGCAGTAAGAAATGTCCTGCATTATGGATGGTACAGTAATTAAAGAATGATGCTTTCAACAGCTGATTGTTGGTATACACTGGCTACTGATAGCAGTACAGTATGGGAGTTAATAAGGGTAGCAGACGATGGTAGAAATGACTTCTGAAAGATGATAGCCAGTTTTCTCCAGCATTCAGCCTGGTAGTAAAACTCAGAATCTTGGCCTGCATCTTAAATGAAATACTCTTTTTTCTCTTCAGCATTGACTTGGCTGCCTTCAGCATTGATAATGGCTGTATCAGCATCTGGTGCATCTTCAGCTCCTTTAGCTTCATTTGTTAAATACGTTCCTGCATATATTGGAAGAAAAATATGTTAGCTCTGTGAGACTGGTAAAATACCCAGCATTAAAGCTACATTATTTAGGAAGAAACTTTTGCCAGATTTTTGAGACCTAATATGCTACCCGATTGACTCTTCTAAAGTTGCACTGTTTTCTTACAGTTTTCAGGTACGCTGCAGGTGAAGTTATGGCTTGATTTACTACAGGCAAGAGCCAAACTGAAATGGGTAATAAGTAATTGTGACTTCTTTAATGATGGATAAAATCAATGTGAACCTTACAGCTGTAGCAAACAGGGTCTTTTGTTAAGATCTTTTTTTTTTTTTTTTTTTTTTTTTTGAGACGGAGTCTCGCTCTCTCGCCCAGGCTGGAGTGCAGTGGCACGATCTCAGCTCACCGCAAGCTCCGCCTCCCGGGTTCAAGCAATTCTCCTGCCTCAGCCTCCCGAGTAGCTGGGACTACATTTTGTTAAGATCTTAAAAACGGTCATGTCAAACTTGTCACCGTTTCTTTTGGTAAACTTCTTTAAAAGTAGGTTACAGCAATAAAGTGGTACCTGGCCCGTTGCACAATATATATTTTCCTCACTAAATATGGCTACACAGATGTTCACAAACTGACAAAAACATCAACCAAATAGTTATAGTTGGATTTCAGTTCTAGATATAAATTACAAACTTTCTTCCATATTTTTTCTATTTTTCTGAGCCAGTGGCTTACTCTATGACATCTGGCCATTGGCTAAACATTATTTTGCTAAGCCAATCCAACTTTAAATTTAAGTAAAATAATTAAGAATTCGCTGAAATAATTTAGCATTTCTCTCTATCTCCCTATTCTACACATGTACAGAAACATATATGCACTGATATCATATTTTATAATGAAGTTAGTCTAGAATATTTTGCCCACATTGTGTACTCTGGCTAAATATAACGTACCTTTATGCCTTGCCAGATATCGACCAAGCAGAAAGATAGAACACAGCGTGACAAATACAACTACAGCCACTATTCCTCCTATGAGAGCATGGTCAGGGCCATTCTGGCCAGCCAAAGCATTAGGATCTGGAAAAGACAGGAAAATATTGTTCTATTTAATGTGTTATTTAGTCACAGAATACATAACTGCATTAGAATGAGTTATTTTGAAAATTAACACAATTTCTGTTAAATAATACATTAACGTGCATTACACCAGTCATCCTGTGAACAAATATAATATACAAGGTATCTGGGGATATAACATTTGATATATCAATCACTATTGCCATTGAGCTTACATTTTAAGGAAAAGATTGGATAAGCAAATATACATATATAATTTTGTATAGCTATAGACCTTTCCTTCCTCCTCACCTCCATCTGAAAATATGTGTGTGTATGTCTGCATATTTCTTTGGTGTGAGTAACAAAACTATACTGTTATCAAGTTAAAATAATGTCATGAGAAAGCCTGGGGATGAAAATGATAATTTGAGACTTATCATTATATAAATGTTATTACAGCTATGGAAATTGACTAATTCACCCATTGGTGTCTAGATGGAGAAAATAAGAGGTCTGAGAACTGACCACTGGAAACTTCCATATTTAAAATTCAGGAAGAGGAAGAACTTCCAGTTGTGCAGACTGAAAAGGAGAGAACATTCAGAGAGGAAGCGATATTGGAGAAAACACTGTAGTTGATCAAAGGGAAGAATGTATTTTGGCGGGAAAGCAGGGGTTGAGACTGTTAAATGCTGTTGATAGAGGAAGATGAATACTCAGCATCAAGATTTAGATGCCGGTGGAACTTGTGATTCTAGAGAAAGTGATTGGAAAGAGACAAATTAATAATATACTTTCATGTTCTGCATTTACTAGGATTTTACAGGCAAGAAATCAGCCCAGAAAAGGATGGCCAGTTTTCAAGAAGAAATGAAAAGGTCATTTTAATGATCGCCATTCTAACTGGTGTGAGGTGGTATATCATTGTGGTTTTGATTTGCATTTCTCTGATGGCCAGTGATGATGAGCATTTTTTCATTGTGGAAGACAGTGTGGCAATTCCTCAGGGATCTAGAACTAGAAATACCATTTGACCCAGCCATCCCATTACTGGGTATATACCCAAAGGAATATAAATCATGCTGCTATAAAGACACGTGCACACACATGTTTATTGCGGCACTACTCGCAATAGCAAAGACTTGGATCCAACCCAAATGTCCAACAATGATAGACTGGATTAAGAAAATGTGGCACATATACACCATGGAATACTATGCAGTCATAAAAAAAGGATGAGTCCATGTCCTTTGTAGGGACATGGATGAAGCTGGAAACCATCATTCTCAGCAAACTATCGCAAGGACAAAAAACCAAACACTGCATGTTCTCACTCATAGGTGGGAATGAACAATGAGAACACTTGGGCACAGGAAGGGGAACATCACACACCGGGGCCTGTCGTGGGGTGGGGGAAGAGGGGAGGGATAGCATTAGGAGATATACCTAATGTAAATGACGAGTTACTGGGGGCAGCACACGAACATGGCACATGTATACATATGGAACAAACCTGCACATTGTGCACATGTACCCTAGAACTTAAAGTATAATAAAAAAATGTATATATATATATTAAAAAAAAAGAAGTGAAAAGGTCAAAAGAATACCCAGACATTTGGGCACTCAAAAGTTTGGAAAATTAGCTCTTTATAGAAGGATAAAACTGAGTGAAGACCTGGGCAATAAAATCCACTAAGACTCAGCCCTATGACAAAGATCAGATTGAGTGTACTTCCTGCTCTCCCAGGTTCATTGTTGCGGATAGCCTCAGGATAGCTATTTATAATTTACAGATCTATTTAACGGACAGTGAAAGTAAAGAAGTAAATTAGGCTTGGCAAGAATGCCTTCAAAAACTAGAGCTGGATTATAGGAACATTAATCTGACAAATAGATTGTGAGTCTTCTGTATTTTTAATGTAACTGCTGTGTCAAAGGATCATATGTCTAGATAGAAAAAAAAGTCTGACTGTTTGAAACTTCAAACAACGTCTAGACACCTAAACTTGCTGAATGCAAAATGTGGACTATAAAAGCTATGTATCCCCGATGGAGGACATACTCCCCGACACCTACTTCAAATATGTCATGGACTATGACTAACTAGGTTGAACTCAACAGAAGGTAGAATTTGGGAAAGCAAAAAAGAATGAATAGAGGAGAATCCAGGTTCTTCAGGGAACAACAAACCTTGTCAAGACAGAGGGGACTTGTAATGCCAGCCTGGCATGTTTTTATAATTGCTACAGATCCCTGATTACCCTGTGTATACCATTCTTGGTTTAATTCCAAATGGGAGTATTTATTATCATGAAGTACTTCTCCTCTATCATGTGTATTGTGTATGCGATGGAGAGGAGAATTAATAACTTGTCTTATTTTCACTTCTTTTCACCAGATATGGTGAAGAGAATTGTGCATATCTGCGGATCTTGAGCTTTGAGTTGGATACCTTGGTTTGATGGAACTTTACGTTGTTTCTTTAGATGGGATGTGGTAGTGGTTTGTGTAAAGGAAACGAGGTGAAAAAATATTCGGTGATCAGAAGGGTATATTGGGGCAGAGATTTCTAGCTGATAACAAACATCTTCTTTGCTTTCAGTTATTAGAACTAGGCATTTTCCAGTCTCTGTTACAGTTGATTAAACAAAGTGATTTGTGTTCTAGACAACTAAATGAAGGCTCAGCCGATAAAAATACCTCACACATGTAAGCCTCCTGAGTGATCTCAGGAGATGAAAGTTGAAGATAAGAGAGTCAAAGGAGTAAGTAAAGCTATTGGTCACTAAATCTCTGCCTGAAAAAAAAAAAAATAACAATACACACTATGTTTCGTTTTATGTTTTGCCCAGGCTGGAGTTCAGTGAGTGGCATGATCTCAGCTCACTGCAACCTCCACCTCCCAGGGACAAGCGATTCTACTGCCTCAGCCTTCCAAGTAGCTGGGATTACAGGTGCCCCGCTACCATAGCTAATTAGCCTCGGCTAATTTTTGTATTTTTTTAGTAGAGACAGGGTTTCACCATGTTGGCCAGGCTAGTCTCGAATTCCCGACCTCAAGAAATCCACCCACCTAGGCCTCCCAAAGTGCTGGGATTACAGGTGTGAGCCACTGCACCCAGCCTAACAATACACCTTTGAAATGCCTGTTGCGGGTCGGGGTGAGGGGGTGGGGGAAGCTTTACTTTAAAAACATTAAACGTTAAAATTAAAGTTACTAGTTAATTTTAGCTCTCTAATATCTATTTCTTGTATTTCCCTACATTTCTATCATTGCCCATAAATCTCCAAAAATGAGGAAAAAATAAACCTGTCATATTTCTGAATTCTCTATTTGTATTACTTGAAATATCCTTTGGAATCAGTTCAAAAATCCACCTCTTGCTCAAGTTTTCATAAACAGACAGTCATAAATCATATCCATTTTATTTGCTGAATATCTTGCAGAACTGGGCACTCTTTTAGAGAACTTAGAAATCATTTTTGTTCATACATCTCTGCACCTGTCTTTCTTGCTGAAGGTAAATTCTAAAAAGTATTTCTGGATCAATGGTATAAATATTTTGTAAAGGCTTTTGATAAATATTGTCAATGTACATTGCCAAAAAATTGTACAAATTCAACCCCCCCCCCACCATCAACAGCACCTGAGGGATTCTTTTCTCCATATTGCATTAACATCAAAATATAATTTTAAAATATTTTGCCATTCTGATGTGGAAAAGTAACATCTAAATTTAAATGTTTTGGATTAATGAAATTACAGGTTAACATAATAATGTCTAAATATTTTCAGCTATTTTAATTCATTACTTTTGAAATGCCTGTCTATGCAATTTGCCCATTTTTCTATTTAAATTTTGCTTTAACAGCTGTCTTTAAAGATTAACAATTTTTAGCAAGTTCTCTTTATTTTTCATTTTTGGTATTTTCAGATAGATTAGTCTTACAACTTTATGTAATCAAATCCATTAAATTATTATGTTATGACACGTGGCTTGTGGGTCATAGAATAAAAAACACTTTTGCAATAAGATTATATGCATACAAATCTTTATTGTCATCTAACCCTTTTGTTATTATATCTTAATCCTTCTAAAATGTATTGTGGTCTATGATTTGAGGCTAAAGTGTTAAAATATAACTTCTGTTTTTATAGCCAGCTGTCCCCCACAGAATTTCTTTAATCAATAATTTTATGTAACTTACCATAAAATAATTGTCTATATATTTTATATGTTTCTGCACATTCTAGTCTATATGAGTGATCTGTATGCCCAATATTACACCAGTATTATGGTTTTAAAAATCAGTTGAAGGACTTCTAAAAACACCCCCTATCAAGTTCAGAAAAATTTTGGAAGAATCAAAATATAACAGATTATTTATTGGGATTTATAAACTTATAAATACATTTTGCTTTATATAGTGTATTATACATAATCAGCATGAGTCTTTAACAATTCAAACATTCAGTGTCTTTTAGTAAGTTGTGTAGTTTTATGGTATTGGGTCATATGTTTGCATTAATGTTATTTTCTGTGCTTAAACAAAATTTTTAATCATTGAAAATGTTTAAATATTAACATATTAAAAATATTCAAAGCTGTTATTATTATTATTATTATTATTATTATTGAGACATAGCCTTGCTCTGTAGCCCAGGCTGGAGTGCAGTGGCACGATCTTGACTCACTGCAACCTCCACCTCCCGGGTTCAGATGATTCTCCTGCCTCAGCCTCCTGAGCAGCTGGGACTACAGACGTGCACCACCACGCCCGGCTAATTTCTGTATTTTCAGTAGAGATGAGGTTTCACCATATTGGTGAGGCTGGCCTTGAACTCCTGACCTCGTGATCTGCCCACCTCAGCCTCCAAAAGTGCTGGGATTACAGGCGTGAGTCACCGCATCCGGCCATTATTATTTTTTAATTAAATTGTATGCTTTCTGTATTAGTCTGTTATCATGCTGCTAATAAAGCCATACCTGTGGACTGGGTAATTTATAAGGAAAAAGAGGTTTAAGGAACACAGAGTTCCTGTCTCAAAAATAAATAAATAAATAATCTTTACATATCCTTGTATTTTCTTTTCTCATTTTTCATCTTACTGTTGGGATGACTTGAACAAAGACTCTCTGTTCTGATGCTGATGGTATTTCTTGCTCATTCTTAATGCAGTAGATCAATTCAGGTACAGCTATCTTTGCAACTGAAATATGAATTACATGACATCTGTACCTAGTGAATGGAATGGAGGTAGTGTCTTAGGATATAGATCACTATTAGGGAAAGGTTTCATTGATGTATTTAATTTTTTTTGCCTGTAACCTTCATTCTTACAGTAGAATCTCAGATTATATATATAGGCCATTTTCTCTTTCCTTTTTTTTTTGACATTAAAACGATTTGATCTGTTAAAATTTGTTGTAGATCAATTTAAATTTATCATGTTCATTATTGTTTTCAGTTTGTTTCAGATACATTCAGAGATAGATTAACATAACTTTTGAAGAAATTAATTTATAACACATATTTATTTGATCCTATTCATTCTTATAATCTGTGAAGGAAATACTTCAACTTCCATCTTTCATTTCATTGACAAAGTAAATCAACATATTTTCATAGGATTTTAAGGTTTTAAAGATAATATGGATATGAGAAAAGTTACTTTATATGTCTACAAGTAAGTGTATTTTTAAAAAAGTAATATTTTTGGCTATGCTTTTTTTTAAATCCCCATAACTGTTAGAACTAAGAGCCTCTCCTTAAGTTTTTATTCTTAGCAACTAAAACAAATGTTTGGGATTGAGGATAAGTATTACCTGAATGATGCAGGAAGAGTACATAATTTAAATGGCTAAATTTCAATGGCAATTTCTCATATTTCCTCTCACATCTACCTCCTATTTCATAGCAATAAAAAGACGAAGTAAAGCTTTCTGAAATTTCTTAACAGAGAGCTGTGTCTACATTGTTATTCAGATAAATACATCATGTATTGTTAAAGATCATTTTTCATTCTCAAGCATTAGCCCATGATTTGTTGGCATTAGCCTGTTAATGTTGGAGTAAATTTCAGGAGATGTGATAATACATTAGTAATCTCTTTTACCTGACAATGCAGAAAACACAAAAGATATTGTAAACATAAAGCTTTCTGAACTTAACAACTTTCATTTAGAGTTATTTGATGCTTAGTAAAGACTCCAAAGAGAAAATTATGTCAAATTATAATACCTAAGTTCAGTAATTTTAAATATTTACGAGTGAAAAATAACACTAATTTATAGTTTTACTTAAAATCTTAATATGGAGAAATCCTACATAATGTAATTCTATCTCTGAAATCATTGCTGGGGTTTCTATCAAGGGTCTAGTCTATTGTGTTTTCTGTTCTTAAAATACAAGGTACAAACTCAAATATGAAGAATTTCTGGCCTTTTAAGATAACAGTATGTAGAAAATATGAATGCAAGTAGCTTTTCATTCTAGTGTTGGAATTTTTTTTTTTTTTTTTTGTAAGATGGAGTCTCGCTCTGTCACCCAGGCTGAAGTGCAGGGGTACAATCTCAGCTCTCTGCAACCTCCGCCTCCTGGGTTCAAGCTATTCTCCTGCCTCAGCCACCCAAGTAGCTGAGATTATAGGCATGCATCACCATGCCAGGCTAATTTTGGTATTTTTAGTGGAGACAGGGTTTCACCAGGTTGACCAGGCTGGTCTTGAACTGCTGACCTCAGGTGATCCACCTGCTTAGGCCTCCCAAAGTGCTAGGATTACAGGTGTGAGCCACTGCGTCTGACCATGTAAAATTTTTTTATAAAAAATACTTTATTAAGTTATTATATTTGATTTTCAGTTATAAATATAATGGTAGGAAATAATTAAAATGTAAATCATTTTATTTAAAATATTTTAAAATTAAGTTCCAAGGACATTTTTATACAAAGAAAGTGATTATTATTCAATTGTTATTATATATTAAAATAAATATGTTTTCAAAGTCAAATTTTGATTAACAGAAAACTCAGTGAAAATTTTTCAAGTGGAAGACACTGCTTACAAACTCTGGATTTACAAATTGTTTACACCAAGCCTTAAACCATTTACTGCTATCTGTGTGACACAGGTCAGGTTTTTTAGCCTTCTCATCTTTAGAATGTGAATACTTATTTCCCAGCATTGTCAGTGACTAAATGTATCAATACTCTGAAATGGCTTAGAAGAATGTCTGACACAAAGGAAGCACTATCCAAATGTTAGTTTTATGAGGAAAAAAAAAAGAGAGTTGGAACGTATAAGCTGCCATGTGGAAAAATATAGGTTTCCTTTTTCAGCCTTTTAAAAGACTCATTCAGGACTTTTAATTTACTCCATGTGAAAACTGTGAACCATTCTAAGTGTCTATTTGAAAGATTAGGGAAAATATTAATACAGAAAGATTTGCATAACATGAGATTAGATGGAAAAAGAATCTGGTGGCAGTCTGATGGGTGAGGATTAAATAAGAGAATAATTTGTTGAGTATTTAATCTGTGTCAGGCTCTATGTAATATATTGCAATTTTTTTCAATGTATGTAAAGTACGTACTCAGAAAAATCATAGTTATCTCGAAACAGCTTGCTTAAACTAGTTTTGAAATAATCTTGGAAAAGCTTTAAAATTAACTATGGAAGTCAGTTTTTAGTATGGCTAAGATGACTCCTATTTTGGGAACGAGAGCTGGTTGAGGTCATTTATAGCATTTTATTTTTCCACATAGTCTGTATTCCTTTTTTTTCTATCATGATGGAGAATCCAATGCCCATCCATGCTAAATAATCTCCTGTTATTTATGCTTCTTCATCCTGTAAGACATACTTCTTTCCCTCTGGGCATGCAAAGTCCGAACAACAGTGATCAGTCTCTGTCAATTATCCTTGAATTATTTAGTCCAGGAGTTTACTCCTCCAGATTAATTCACTTGTTTAAGTTTTATCTTCCCCCAAAGATATGTTTTCTTGAAGATAAAGGTTGTTTCTTACACTTGTAATATAGTTGTAACAGCACTTTTACACAGTTCTTAAAGCTAAGCAAATTGAGTGAATGAATAATATTAAATTCTTATGCTAAATTCCAAACAGATTGTTTTTTATATGCCAATTTGCTGTGCTGAGCAACGGATCACTGCCCCTTCATAATACTAAATTATAATAAAACTGTTACTATCAAGTATAAATGACTCATCCAGATATGTACTTAATTACTGCTTTTTATAGTTTGATTCTAACATTAAATTAGAATTTTTCCATATACTTAAGGGCCCACTTCCCCCTATTTAAAAAGAATAATTCTTCAGAAAGAGGGGCACTATGGTACAACATTAGAAACAGTTATACATAACTTGTGGGAAAAAATAAACTGTTCTTTGACATAAGCAAAGTCCCTGGAGAGAAATGCGTCACTGCGCTTACTCAAGGGCCATCTATTATGTCGTAATTTTATGTACAATTACTGTTTCTGACAAAAACGCTTAAGAATACTATCTAAGAGATAGAAAACATGAAAATATATAATTCTTCATATTTGTGCAGTGATTTACACATAGTTTTAACTATACGTAATATGTGTAGAAACTTTGAGTTTTAAATTAAGGCTACATCATACAACAGATTTTCAATGACGGGTTAAAGCAAATCCAAGCAAACACAAAACTTAATCTTTCCTCTCAGAATGTATTTAGTGTAACACAAATTTATTTTCCCATGAAGCTCATAAAAAACAAATGGCCCCACATGTTTATATCTGTAAGAGTACATAAGTTTCCTATTCACAACGTTTTGGGCCATACTAATTATAAAATCACCATTTTCTTTGTTTTAGTTTGGTTTGTTTTTAGTGTTCCAAGGCTGTTTAGCTTAGAGATACAATCAATTTACAAACTGTTTCAGTAAGTGCAATGTGATTATCAGGAGTGCAGAAGGAAACTGTTGCCACTCCGTGCACTAATTTCATGCACTGGACTGCAGCTTCCCTCCTGGGAAGATTGTCCCATTTCGTGATCTGATCTGCTCATCCTTTCTTCATTATTTACAGACATCCTAATTATTTCACAATAAATTTTATTAATCTATACTTATACATGATCAATAATGTGCTGGGCACAAATAAAATATGTCCTTGAAAAAGATACCCTGTTTGTTCTTGAGAACAAAAATTAAATGGAAAATGTATCCGAACATGGTATTTCTATTTTTGGAAAATGTAGGTTCTAGCATAGTTCTCTTCCTTTCAGCGATCTTTTTTGCTGGTGAATGCAGGCTAGTATTTCCTTGACTATTTCAAGTGAGGAAATTTTTTAGCTCTGAAGAATCTGAACAACTCCAGAGAGTACTCTCAACCAGCAGAGCAGTGCAGCTATTAGAACTAAGGGTCCTTCACAAAACGCTTCACCTCCTTTCCCACTGACATTCATAAAGTGAGAGAACTTTCCATGAGGAGATTACCTGTGTGATAACAGGAGGAAGGTGAAAGAAAAGGATGTTTTTAAAGGCTATCTAGGTGATCAAACGGAAAATAAAATAAGTTTTTGGATTGCCATGGATTACCATGGGGCCATTTGCTGCTGAGAAAAGTCAGCTAAGTTATCCATTGGGCACATAACTTAGAGTCTAATTTTCCTTCATAAAATAGTAGTCTCTTTTTAAGCTCAGAGATCTCAAATAGTATTTCATTCTAGTTTCCATGTGACCAGTGTAGAGTTTCAGTTTCTCTGTTTATAAATGAGAATAGGTACCTGCTCTGCTTTTCTCAAAACAGTCACTGTTAAAAAATCAGTTTATAATGAATCTGCTAAGGTCTGAATGTTTGTGTCCCTCCAAAATTCATGTGTTGAAATCTTAATCACCAACGTGATGATATTAGGAGGTGGAGCCTTTGGAAGGTGATTAGGTCGTGAGAGTTATTCCTTCATTAATGGAATTAGTGCCCTAAAATAAAATATTAGCCAGGCATGGTGGCATGCCCTTGTAATCTCAGCTACTCAGGAGGCTGAGGCCAGAGAATCTCTGGAACCCAGGAGGCAGAGTTTGCAGTGAGCTGAGATCGCGCTACTGCACTCCAGCCAGGGTGACAGAGCAAGAATCCCTCTAAAACCAAAAAAAAAAAAAAAAAAAAAAAAAAAAGAGGGGATGCCCAGAGTTGCATTGCTTTGCCCTTTTCACCATGTGAGTACACAGAGAATACACTACACTATCTATGAACCAAAAAGCAGGCCCTCACCAAACATTGAATCTGCCTGCACCTTGATATCATAATTCTCAGCATCCAGAACTGTGAGAAATAAATTTCTGTTGTTTATAAACTACCCAATTGGTGGTATTTTGTTATAGCAGACCAAATGGACAAAGACAGGACATATGCATATGTCATATCTAAAAAGTGTTCAATAAATATGCAAATAAAACAATGAGCTTCATAAGGTTAGACATCCTGCAACAAGCCTGCATTTTCTAGTTTGGGGTTGCTTTTATCAGAAAAAAATATATGCTAAAATTCATTTCACAGTGCCTAGTTTATTTTATGTGATATATATAAATTGCTGCTTTTTATTCTGTTGCTTCCTGTCTTTCTCTCTTGGAGCTGTTCTGCCTTCAATGTCAACAATACCAAACTCTTCACACATCACTGTTCTCTGTCCACACACATAAAATAAATAAATAGGAACAACCATTAAGAAAAAAAATAAATGACTTCAATATGACATTGCCATATATCCATTTTGGCAATGTATTCTGTGAAAATCTAAAAAGATAAATTAAGGTATGTTTAAGCAGAATGGAGGTTAAGTATATTGTATGCAATTATTTTCGCCTAAGAGTAAAATATAGTTGTAAACACATTTCTTAAGCTGAAAAAAAAAGACACATGGCTTGATTATAATTAAATTAAGCATGCTTTCAGAGGAAACAACAAAAATAGTATAGAAGAATTTTTTAAATACTTAGTATAATAAAGAATAAATATTTGCCAATGAGATCGTTTATAGACTCCACATTATTCTAAAATTTCAGGCTGTACCAATTGACTGTGATGTTTATCCATGTGTATAAATACATCTGATGGAAAAATAAACACTTAAATGGGGTAGAATCATCACCTGTTAGAAACATATTAAGTTTTTATGAGCCAATACACTAGACACACAATACTATTTCTACTAAAATATATTTTTAAACAAGTCAGTTCTAAAATGTATATAACAACACTAGTCACTATAGTCAAATCAATTCTGTTATATATTTTTGGAATTGATTATTCTGATGATAATTATAAGTTATATTAACTATGTTTATGAGTTTTAAAAACCACTATAAATGATAATTGAACCAGTTTCTCAGTTACAATAATGAATATATGTCTTTTCCATATATCATTATAAAGAGATCATCACATACCAGTAGAAAAGACTTATGCTTTTTTTTAAATATTAAAATATTAAGCTTAAATAGATGTTCTCTGATTGCTTTTTCATGTACTAAGTTATGTTCAAATAGGAAGTAACTCAATCACTCCCATCTTGCTGTTACTGGTCCTTTATACACTAGCTATATGACAGATATGTTACTTAACCTCCCTCTACCTTAGTTTTCACATCTATTAAACAGGATAATAATAGTAGGTGACACAAAAAATTCTTGTGCATAACAGATCAGATAATATATACAAAAGTTTTAGTACAATACTTGTCCCATAAAATATAATAGTTCATATTTATTAAAAGCATTATTCTTATTACTTTATTAAATTTATTAAATAAGCATAAACTCATTTGAACCACAAATCAGTCTTGCAAAATAGTTACTATTTTCATAACAAATTTAGATTTTTTAGTAAATATTTATCATTATGTTATTGTCCAAGCTCCTAACTGCAAAACTGAACCTGACCCAAGCTGAATTAGACCAGCATAAGAGAATTTTCATACGGGAAAGTTGCTATCAAGAGGATAGACCATGATTACTGCATGTTAAAAAGTAATTGTTTGGCTTATGGATGCCTGAGCACATGTTCTTGTGAACAACTTTCCCAAATTGCAGAGAAGATTCCTTTCCTGAGATTCTTTGTTCTCTGTGCTGTGCTCTCTCCTGAAACTATTCCACGAAGACATTGGAAGAAAATAGTCAAAGACCAAACATCACTGGGTTTCTTCCGCATCTCCCAATCCAGAACCTATTTTCCAAAATGACCAAAAGTATAAGTGGTGGATAAGTTTTTGTCAAGTGTACACGCAAAAAATGCATTTAGACCCAAAAGGTAATGTAGAAAATATGTTTAGAGTTCAAATGTTTGACTTACAAGGAAAATCTAGTCTCTTAATGTAATTGATAGGATATAATAAAAAATGAACTAGGATATTTCAAATATTGTATTACAGAAACCAACTTAGAATGTCACTTAATTTTGGATCTGTTAAGTACATTAATTTACTCCGTTATAGGAAGAATTTTGGAAGAAGGTTTTATCAAATTTATTGATTTCTTATAACATGAATTCAGAAGAAAATACTGGTATAAAACTTCAGTGTAGTTAACCCTTGGAGATTTGGCTATTTATATGAGCTATTTATTTAATACCTATCAGGAGCTGCTATGACCTTATTATCATTAAGAATGTAGTGATCAGATAGTCATGGATCTAGACACTGATATAATGACAGAAATAGTTGTGTGCATGTTTGTGAGTATAAAATACACTTTAGTTTTCCAAAAAGAAAGAAAAAGAAAGTTTGTAAGAAACATACTATGCTTAAATTACAACAGTAATTAATCTTTCTATTTAAGCATACAGAAAATTTGCATACTCTATGAATTAATAGATTGTGATTTTTTAAATGTGAGAAATAAGTATGCAAAATGCAGCTAACTAAGCCTATAACAAAATCTTCAGAAGAAATTTACTTAAATATTAATGAGTGGCAAATATGCCTATAAAATAATTCTGCCCTTACAAGTTAATATGAAGTATAATTATATGTAAAATTTTGTCCTACATCATTGTTACAAAGCACTGGACTTAAATTCTTGTTATACATAAAATATAATTATTCATTTTAACAATTATTGCACAGAACCTTATAGGCCAAACATACCAATGAAAAGACTTAACTGAAAGCTCTAAGATGCATTCACTACAGTCATTTCAACTGTGCTGAAGAAAAATTTAAATGGCAACCTTAAAATATCTGTATTTTATATTCCACACTATATGTTATAATAATAAAAGTAAAATTTTAAAACTTTTCAAAGCCGTACCTAATACCTAAGAATGTCCCAGAATTTTAATGATAGAACCCTATAGCTTTCCTCTACTTAAGGAATACAAATACAATTTACAGGTACAGACTGTGTTTTTCATAGATATCATTAAATACATAACCTAAAATAAATCATATTTTAATTACAGTTGAAAACTTCATGTAGTTATAATCATTCTTCTAAATTAGTGTAATTGTTTATGTTTCTATAACAAATTGTGTTTATTTAATTCTTTTCTCCTACCTTCAAATAAATCCATTTTTTCCTTTTTTCTAGAATTTGTCATTCACCAAGGGTTCGAACTGTCTTACAAAGTAACACAAGAAAATAACAAATAACAAAGTTTTTTTTTGAAAGTCACTGATATGATTTAGATCTGTGTCCCCACCAAATATCATGTCAAATTGTAATTCCCAGGGTTGGAGGTAGGGCATGATAGGAGGTGATTGGATTGTGGGAACGGTTTCTCTTGAATGGTTTAGCACTATCTCCTTGGTGCTGTTTTAACGATAGTGAGTGAGTGAGTTCTCCTGAGATCTGATTGTTTCAAAGTGTGTAGCACCTCCCTCGGCTCTCTCTTCCTCCTGCACCTGCCATGTGAAGTTCTGGCTCCCCCTTCACCTTCCACCACAATTGTAAGTTACCTGGGCTTCCTCCCCTGCAGAAGTCCAGCAGATGCCAGGATCATGCTTCCTGTACAGCCTGTGGAACTGTGAGCCAATTTTCTTTATAAATTACCCAGTCTCGGGTATTTATAGCAATGCTATAACAGACTAATACAGAAAATTGGTATCAAGGAGTAGGACATTTCTATAGAATACCTAAAAATGTGGAAACGACTTTGGAACTTGGTAATAGGCGAGGCTGGAAAAAGTTTGGAGGGCTCAGAAGAAGATAAGAAGATGAGTGGAAATTTGGAACTTCCTATAGACTTGCTGAATGGTTGTGACCAAAATGCTGATAGTGATATGGACAATGAACTCCAGGCTGAGGAAGTCTCAGATACAGATAAAGAACTTACTGGGAACTGGAGCAAAGGTCACGTTAGTTATGTGTTAGCAAAGAAACTGGCTGCATTGAGTCCTGCCCTAGGGATCCATGGAACTTTGAACTTGAGAGTGTTGATGTAAGGTATCTGGCAGAATAAATGTCTAAATAGCAGAGCATTCAAGATTTGATCTGGCTGCTTCTAACATCCTATCTCATATGTGTAAGCCAAGAAATGATGAATAACTGCAATTGATATTTAAAAAAGAAAGTAGAGTATATAAGCTTGGAAAATTTTCAACCTGGCCATGTGGTAGAAAAGAAAAGTCCATTTTTAGGTGAGGAATTAAAGCAGGCTGCAGAAATTTGCATAAGTAAAAAGCCAAGATAATGTGGAAAACCCAAGACAATACGGAAAAGGCCTTGAAGGCATTTCAGAGACCTTTGCAGCAGGCCCTCCATGACAGGTGGTTTCGTTCTGTCCTCCTAGGTCTCTGGGCCAGGTCCAGGGCCCAGCTACTCTGTGCAACCTTGGGACACTTCTCCTTGCATCTCAGCCACTCCACCTCTAATTGTGACTCAAGTGGGACCAGCTATAACTTGGGTCACTGATTCAGAGGGTGCAAGCCTTAAGCCTTGGTGGTTCCATGTGTTAAGCCTGTAGGTGCACAGAGGGCAAGATTTGAGGCTTGGGAGCTTTCATCTAGATTCCAGAGGATGTATGGAAAAGCCTGGATGTCTAGGCAGAAGCCTGCTTCAGTGGCCAAGCCATAATGAAGAACCTCTACTAGGGCAGTGCAAAGTGGGAAATGAGAGGCTGGAGTCCCCACACAGAGTCCCCACTGGGGCACTGCCTAGTGGAGCTCTGGGAGTAGAGTCACTGTCCTCCAGATCCCAGAATGGTAGATCCACTGACAGCTTGTACTGTGTGCCTGGAAAAGCTTCAGGCACTCAACACCAGCCCATAAGAGCAGCCACAGGCACTGAACTCTGCAAAGTCACAGGAATGGAGCTGCTCGAGGCTTTAGTAGCCCACCCCTCAAACCAGTGTGCCCTGGATGTGAGACATGGAGTAGAAGGAGATTATTTTGAAGCTTTAAGATTTAATGACTGCCCTGCTTGGTTTCCAAATTGCCTGGGGCCTGTAGCCCCTTTCTTTTGGCTGATTTCTCACTTTTGGAATGGGAGTATTTACACAACACCTGTACCCCTGTTGTATCTTGAGAGTAACAAACTTGTTTTTGATTTTATAGGCTCATAGGCAGAAGAGACTTGCCTAGTCCCAGATGAGACTTTGAACTTTGGAGTTAATGGTGGAATAAGTTACAAGTTTGGGGGACTTCTGGAAAAGCATGATTGTATTTTGCAATGTGAGAGGGACATGAGATTTGAAGCATCAGGCACAGAATGATGTGGTTTGGATCTGTGTCCCCACCAAATTTCATGTTGGATTGTAACCCCAAGAATTAAAGATGGGGCATGATGCGAGGTGATTAGATCATGGGAGCAGTTTCTCATGAACGGTTTGGCACCGCCCCGTTGGTGCTGTTCTCTTGATAGTGAGTGAGTTCTCATGAGATCTGGTTGTTTAAAAGTGTGTAGCACCGACCCTCACCTTCCTCCTTCCCCCTTTGCCTTCTGCTATGATTGTAAGTCTTCTGATGCCTGCCCCCCATGCCAGAAGCTGAGCAGATGGCAGCATCGCATTTCTCGTACAGCCCATGGAACTGTGAGCCAACTAAACCTCTTTTCGTTATAAATTACCCAGTCTTGGCCAGGCACGGTGGCTCACGCCTGTAATCCTAGCACTTTGGGAGGCCGAGGAGGTCAGGAGATCAAGACCATCCTGGCTAACATGGTGAAACCCCATCTCTACTAAAAATACAAAAAATTAGCCGGGCGTGGTGGCGGGTGCCTGTAGTCCCAGCTACTCGGGAGGCTGAGGCAGGAGGATGGCGTGAACCTGGGAGGCAGAGCTTGCAGTGAGCCAAGATCACACCACTGCACTCCAGCCTGGGAGACAGAGTGAGACTCTGTCTCAAAAAAAAAAATAAAAAATAAAAATAAAATAAAATAAAATAAATTACCCAGTCTTAGGTCTTTCTGTATAGCAATGTGAGAATGGACTAATACAGTCACATTCTAACGCAACAGCTCACTTAGAATCAGAAGTGTTAATATCTGGTTCTCTATTTTGTTCACTGAATCATAACTGTTTTTAACTTTGCATATGGAAGACATTTTAATTACTACATTACATGAAAGGTTTTTGTTGTTATAAATACAAAACAGGAAAAAACAAGGGTACAACAATTCTTTACTAAAGAAAAATTTTAAAATTTACCTTTTTTCGGAAAAGACTTGCCATAAAAACGAGACCCTGATTATGAATCCTAGTTTTAATTGTCTTTTATAGTTAGAGGCCTTGTTTTATTTTCTGTAAAATGTTGCCTTTGTTGATCACTTATCTTATAAAATTTATTGTGAAAATGAGATGGGATCTTATGTAGAACATTCTTAGTAGGGCATCCAGCAGAATACATGTTCAGTATGTGCTTTCCTTGTTTGTACAATGTAAACTTATTGGAGATAACAGTAGTTATGTCATGTCAATGGAAACAGATAAATAACCAAGCTTAAGAACATTGTTAATGGAAATATGGGAGATAACCACAGGATAGCTGTAGTATATATCATATTGGCTTAGCATAATAAATAAATTATTGATAGGATTATTTTATGGTTTTTAATTACCATTTAAATTTTAATAGGATTTAATTTAATAGCTTTTTAATTTAATTTAATGAAATAAAATTCTATGCAAGTTTATTAGGACAACAGTAATAGCCATTAATATCATTTTGATCAAGCAATAAAATTGTGGAAGTCATTTCAGAGTAGGTATGTGATTTACCTGAATATTTCTCATTAGTTATACATCTTAATAGCAATCTATTGTTATTCTTTGGTAATAAACTTAATTCATATTTTTCTCCTACAAAACATCAAAAATATATCAGAAAATGCTATATTTTCTGTGAGCACTTTCAAAAGGCTGTACATATATATATACACACGTATATACATGTACAAATCTTTAAACAAATACATATATATTCGTTTTTCTAACTTTGAAAATAAAATAACATAATCATAATGCACGTTTTTGAATGTTAAAAAAATAACATTTAGTTGATGTCTTCCATTACACCCATCCTCCAAAGATAAATAAGCTCCATCTACCTTAACAGGTATATTATTTTAATGTTTTTTATACATATTAATACTGGTCATCTTTGATACATGTTTTCTTATTATGTAAAAACATCATAGTTGAAAAGTTAGAATGTAAACATTCAACATTAAAGTTTTGCTAACTCACATTTTCCTAAATGTAACATTTTGAAAGGTGATCTTTGCGATATCTTCCTCTTCCTATCACTAATCCAAAGAAAACTCCATGTATACTAACATCTGCTAAGTTTAATTGTAGAAGTTGTCTAAGACCCCAGATTTGGGACTCGAAATGTGAGAGTATTTCACTTCAATGTGCCTTTGTTGGTGTTTTGGTTAATTTTACTTTGTGAGATAGTGGCCATAAACTTTATATTCTACTTTACTCACACACCACTCATAGGAGGGAGCCATTCTGGAGCAGCATGAATGAAAAATAGTACAAACAATATTTTGGACAGAGCAGGAGCTTCTTACTCCTCTTACACACGTTAACTAAGCTTTTACTTTACTTCACTTTCTTGAGGCACAAAGTGACTTGTAGCTCTACTCTAATCTAGGCAGTGATAGATGTAAATTCTACCCAGAGGGTCATGACTAAATCAGTTTGCAACTGACAAACTCATTTCCTGACTTCTCTGGAGACATTAATAAGGACTTGAATCAAAGGTCCAGTGTAATTACCATGTGTATTTCAGATTAAATAAATATGATAAAAGCTTCCATCTGGCTCTTGATCAAACATGTGGGGAGATGTTGATTTCCAGTGGCATATTGCAATATGTCTATTGTAACTCTCCCCGATGCCTTCCCATAAATTACTTCCATTTGGGATTACTTGACTTAAACAGACAGAAATATTACTCACTTCTTAAATGCTGCCCAATGGGAGTTTGTGAGAAGCAGTCTAATCTTATACTTGTTAAGAAAGACATTAAGAAATAATAGAGCTATGTTTATTTTACTAAACGACAATCGTGCTCAAACAATTTGAAGAAGCGAACTTAATTTCATAGCAGCCTAGAACTTGCTCTTGATGACTGAAGATTACATCTAAAGGGATTGCAAATTACGATACTAGATAAATGTTTGATTGTATTATAGAATACCCAAATTTTGATAAATGAATGGAGTCTGGAAATTTACTTCAGCAAACATCAACAGCATTCCAAGAACATTGAGAAATAAGGAAATTTTTTTGTGAAAAATTTAACAGATGTTTTGTCAGTTACTGTCATCACCAAGATATTTCTGTTTTGAAAGAAAAAGCTAACACTCACTTCTAATTAAAACACTAATAAGCACAATGAGGGGGGGTTGGGGGTGTTTAAGACGGAGGAAAAATAAAGCCAATAAAACCAATGACATTTGCCTAAAAGGAAGAATGCACAGCCCAGTCCTATTGTCCATGCTGATAATGTCCCCAGGGATAGTTTAGGACTCAGGATTTCTCAATCTTGGCCCTACTGACATTTCTTGAGCTTGGTGATTTTTTACTGTGCGGTGCTGCCCTGTTCCTCATAGGATGTTTAACAACATCCTTGGCCTCTACCACTAGATACCAGTACTCCAGCCCTCAAGTGATTACAATAAAAATTGTCCCCAAACATTGCCACATGTCTCTTGGGGGCCAAATCTCTGACTGTCCAGAAGCAATCATCTAGGCAAATATGCTTAAAAGGGCAGCGTCTATGGAGAATGAGAAGAAAAATATGGTAGATTATCAACTTTTAAGATCCAAATCACTTAATGTGTGTAAAATGGCATATATAGATACTACGTGTTTTTAAAATAAATGATTACAATTAAAATACTTCTAAATTTTAGAAAAATGTTTACAAAAGGCACATGTAAACAAAATATTCAAACTGGAAGCATGTAAGAAGCTAAATGAAAAAATAAAAACATAATTTAGGTTAACTAGGTATATAAAATACAGCACGTTATGGTATCAAACTGGCTTCTTACTAACTTTAATTTAATAGTCCTTAAATTTTTATTGAACTTCTCTGAATTCAGCTACATTTTGTTCAATCTCAGTTCAGTATTGAACTGAACTACATTCTTTGCATCCAACTGGACTTTGGGGAAGAAAATGAGGCTGGAAAGAATGTCATAATGGTTAAAAATGAGGCTATGCTAACATTTTCTGTTAGAATCTGACACTGTCACTTTCAAGTTGTGAAAGAGGACAAAAAAGAGTCTGCTGTCCCTGAGACTTCTTAAGTGTAAAATGAGGATGAGAATGGTATTTATTGTACAGGGTTACTGTGAAGATTTAATAGACTAGCCTATATAAAGGGCTTAACACAGTGACCAGCACATTAGAAGAATGGTGTTTATATTAGTGTTGTTATTGTTCTTATTATTATTACTGGGGAGAAAATGCAAAATAAAAGTCTTGAGCTAAAAAACAACATGGAGAAAAGAATTTCACTTAGACATATCAAAAAAGAAAGTCTAAGAAAATGTTTATTTTCTGATAGATGGGTGGAAACAGCTAAAAACAAGTTCTGCTGAAACAATGGGAGAAGGGCGGTTTAAAGGAACATCTGCTTATGTGGTTCAATTTCACAGCACATGGTAACATATTTCAGGGCAGTTGAGAATTAGATTCTGAGTGCATTTATCAACTCTTTTCAGTAACTGAGTCCCTGGGAAGTGGAACAGAACCAATGTAATGCCTGCCTTTATAAAAGAGGAAGAAAAGGGATGATCCTAGAGATTATAGGCCCATCTGATTACCTTCAAGTTCCAGGAAGACTGATAGAACAAATCAGCCATTCGATTTAAATCACCAAGAAAAGCACAGAAGCTCAATGACAGTTCCCATGGTAATAAGTACATTTGCTGTACCTATATATTTGCTTACACTATCTTTTTTTTTTATTATTATACGTTAAGTTTTAGGGTACATGTGCACAATGTGCAGGTTAGTTACACATGTATATATGTGCCATGTTGGTGTGCTGCACCCATTAACTGGTCATTTAACATTAGGTATATCTCCTAATGCTATCCCTCCCCCCTCCCACCACCCCACGACAGGCCCGTGTGTTATGTTCCCCTTCCTGTGTCCATGTGTTCTCATTGTTCAATTCCCACCTATGAGTGAGAACATGCAGTGTTTGGTTTTTTGTCCTTGCCATACTTTGCTGAGAATGATGGTTTCCAGCTTCATCCATGTCCCTAAAAAGGACATGAACTCATCATTTTTTATGGCTGCATAGTATTTCATGGTGTATATGTGACACATTTTCTTAATCCAGTCTATCATTGTTGGACATTTGGGTTGGTTCCAAGTCTTTGCTATTGTGAATAGTGCCGCAATAAACATGTGTGCATGTGTCTTTATAGCAGCATGTTTTATAATCCTTTGGGTATATACCTGGTAATGGGATGGCTGGGTTAAATGGTATTTCTAGTTCTAGATACTTGAGGAATCGCCACTCTGACTTCCACAATGGTTGAACTAGTTTGCAGTCCCACCAACAGTGTAAAAGTGTTCCTATTTCTCCACATCCTCTCTAGCACCTGTTGTTTCCTGACTGTTTAATGATCGCCATTCTAACTGGTGTGAGATGGTATCTCATTGTGGTTTTGATTTGCATTTTTCTGATGGCCAGTGATGATGAGCATTTTTTCATGTGTCTTTTGGCTGCATAAATGTCTTCTTTTGAGAAGTGTCTGTTCATATCCTTCGTCCACTTGTTGATGGGGTTGTTTGTTTTTTCTTGTAAATTTGTTTGAGTTCATTGTAGATTCTGGATATTAGCCCTTTGTCAGATGAGTAGATTGCAAAAATTTTCTCCCTTTCTGTGGGTTGCCTGTTCACTCTGATGGTAGTTTCTTTTGCTGTGCAGAAGCTCTTTAGTTTAATTAGATCCCATTTGTCAATTTTGGCTTGTGTTGCCGTTGCTTTTTGTGTTTTAGACGTGAAGTCGTTACCCATGCCTATGTCCTGAATGGTATTGCTTAGGTTTTCTTCTAGGATTTTTATGGTTTTAGGTCTAACATGTAAGTCTTTAATCCATCTTGAATTTATTTTTGTATAAGGTGTAAGGAAGGGATCCAGTTTCAGCTTTCTACATATGGCTAGCCAGTTTTCCCAGCACCATTTATTAAATAGGGAACCGTTTCCCCATTTCTTGTTTTCGTCAGGTTTGTCAAAGATCAGATGGTTGTAGATATGCAGCACTATTTCTGAGGGCTCTGTTCTGTTCCATTGGTCTATATCTCTGTTTTGGTACCACTACCATGCTGTTTTGTTTACTGTAGCCTTGTAGTATAGTTTGAAGTCAGGTAGCATGATGCCTCCAGCTTTATTCTTTTGGCTTAGGATTGACTTGGCAAGGTGGTCTCTTTTTTGGTTCCATATGAAATTTAAAGTAGTTTTTTCCAATTCTGTGAAGAAAGTCATTGGTAGCTTGGTGGAGATGGCATTGAATCTACAAATTACCTTGGACAGTATGGCCATTTTCACGATATTGATTCTTCCTACCCATGAGCATGGAATGTTCTTCCGTTCTTTTATTTCCTTGAGCAGTGGTTTGCAGTTCTCCTTGAAGAGGTCCTTCACATCCCTTGTAAGTTGGATTCCTAGGTATTTTATTCTCTTTGAAGCAATTGTGAATGGGAGTTCACTCATGATTTGGCTGTTTGCTATTGGTGTATAAGAATGCTTGTGATTTTTGCACATTGATTTTGTATCCTGAGACTTTTCTGAAGTTGCTTATCAGCTTAAGGAGATTTTGGGCTGAGACAATGGGGTTTTCTAGATATACAATCATGTCTTCTGCAAACAGGGACAATTTGACTTCCTCTTTTCCTAACTGAATACCCTTCATTTCTTTCTCCTGCCTGATTGCCCTGGCCAGAACTTCCAACACTATGTTGAATAGGAGTGGTGAGAGAAGGCATCCCTGTCTTGTGCCAGTTTTCAAAGCGAATGCTTCCAGTTTTTGCCCATTCAGTACGATATTGGCTGTGGGTTTGTCATAGATAGCTCTTATTATTTTGAGATACGTCCCATCAATACCTAATTTATTGCGAGTTTTTAGCATGAAGGGCTGTTGAATTTTATCAAAGGCCTTTTCTGCATCTATTGAGGTAATCAAGTGGTTTTTGTCTTTGGTTCTGTTTATATGCTGGATTAGATTTATTGATTTGCATATGTTGAACCAGCCTTGCATCCCAGGGATGAAGCCCACTTGATCATGCTGGATAAGCTTTTTGATGTGCTGCTGGATTCGGTTTGCCAGTATTTTATTGAGGATTTTTGCATTGATGGTTATCAGGGATATTGGTCTAAAATAGTCATTTTTTGTTGTGTCTTTGCCAGGCTTTGGTATCAGGATGATGCTGGCCTCATAAAATGAGTTAGGGAGGATTCCCTCTTTTTCTATTGATTGGAATAGTTTCAGAAGGAATGGTACCAGCTCCTCCTTGTACCTCTGGTAGAATTCAGCTGTGAATCCATCTGGTCCTGGACTTTTTTTGGTTGGTAAGCTATTAATTATTGCCTGAATTTCAGAGCCTGTTATTGGTCTATTCAGAGATTCAACTTCTTCCTGGTTTAGTCTTGGGAGGGTGTATGTGTCAAGGAATTTATCCATTTCTTCTAGATTTTCTAATTTATATGCATGGAGGCTTTTATAGTATTCTCTGATGGTAGTTTGTATTTCTGTGGGATCGGTAGTGATATCCCCTTTATCATTTTTTATTGCATCTATTTGATTCTTCTCTCTTTTCTTCTTTATTAGTCTTGCTAGTGGTCTATCAATTTTGTTGATCTTTTCAAAAAACCAGCTCCTGGATTCATTGATTTTTTGAAGGGTTTTTTGTGTCTCTATTTCCTTCAGTTCTGCTCTGATCTTAGTTATTTATTGCCTTCTGCTAGCTTTTGAATGTGTTTTCTCTTGCTTCTCTAGTTCTTTTAATTGTGATGTTAGCGTGTCAATTTTAGATCTTTCCTGCTTTCTCCTGTGGGCATTTAGTGCTATAAATTTCCCTCTACACACTGCTTTGAATGTGTCCCAGAGTTTCTGGTATGTTGTGTCTTTGTTCTCCTTGGTTTCAAAGAACATCTTTATTTCTGCCTTCATTTCATTATGTACCCTGTAGTCATTCAGGAGCAGGTTGTTCAGCTTCCACGTAGTTGAGCGGTTTTGAGTGAGTTTCTTAATCCTGAGTTCTAGTTTGATTGCACTGTGATCTGACAGACAGTTTGTTATAATTTGTTCTTTTACATTTGCTGAGGAGTGTTTTACTTCCAACTATGTTGTCAATTTTGGAATAGGTGTGGTGTGGTGCTGAAAAGAAAGTATATTTTGTTGATTTGGGGGGAAAGTTCTGTAGATGTCTATTATGTCCCCTTGGTGCAGAGCTGAGTTCAGTTCCTGGATACCCTTGTTAACTTTCTGTCTGTTGATCTGTCTAATGTTGACAGTGGGGTGTTAAAGTCTCCCATTATTATTGTGTGGGAGTCTAAGTCTCTTTGTGGGTCTCTAAGGACTTGCTTTATGAATCTGGGTGCTCCTATATTGGGTGCATATATATTTAAGATAGTTAGCTCTTCTTGTTGAATTGATCCCTTTACCATTATGTAATGGCCTTCTTTGTCTCTTTTGATCTTTGTCGGTTTAAAGTCTGTTTTATCAGAGACTAGGATTGCAACCCCTGCCTTTTTTTGTTTTCCATTTGCTTCGTAGATCTTCCTCCATCCTTTTATTTTGAGCCTATGTGTGTCTCTGCAAGTGAGATGGGTTTCCTGAATACAGCACACTGATGGGTCTTGACTCTTTATCCAATTTGCCAGTCTGTATCTTTTAATTGGAGCATTTAGTCCATTTACATGTAAGATTAATATTGTTATGTGTGAATTTGATCCTGTCATTATGATGTTAGCTCGTTATTTTGCTCGTTAGTTCATTCAGTTTCTTCTTAGCCTCGACGGTCTTTACAATTTGGCATGTTTTTGCAGTGGCTGGTACCGGTTGTTCCTTTCCACGTTTAGTGTTTCCTTCAGGAGCTCTTTTAGGGCAGGCCTGGTGGTGACAAAATCTCTCAGCATTTGCTTGTCTGTAAAGTATTTTATTTCTCCTTCACTTATGAAGCTTAGTTTGGCTGGATATGAAATTCTGGGTTGAAAATTCTTTTCTTTAAGAATGTTGAATATTAACCCCCACTCTCTTCTGGCTTGTAGAGTTTCTGCCAAGAGATCAGCTGTTAGTCTGATGGGCTTCACTTTGTGGGTAACCCGACCTTTCTCTCTGGCTGCCCTTAACATTTTTTCCTTCATTTCAATTTTGTGAATCTGACAATTATGTGTCTTGGAGTTGCTCTTCTCGAGGAGTATCTTTGTGGTGTTCTCTGTATTTCCTGAATCTGAATGTTGGCCTGTCTTGCTAGATTGGGGAAGTTCTCCTGGATAATATCCTGCAGAGTGTTTTCCAACTTTGTTCCATTCTCCCCATCACTTTCAGGTACACAAATCAGACGTCGATTTGGTCTTTTCACATAGTCCCATATTTCTTGGAGGCTTTGTTGGTTTCTTTTATTCTTTTTTCTCTAAATTTCTCTTCTCGCTTCATTTAATTCATTTGATCTTCCGTCACTGATACCCTTTCTTCCAGTTGATCGAATCAGCTACTGAGGCTTGTGCATTTGTCACATAGTTCTCATACCTTGGTTTTCAGCTCCATTAGGTCCTTTAAGGACTTCTCTGCATTGGTTATTCTAGTTAGCCATTCATCTAATTTTTTTTCAAGGTTTTTAAGTTCTTTGCCATGGGTTTGAACTTCCTCCTTTAGCTCAGAGTAGTTTGATCATCTGAAGCCTTCTTCTCTCAGGTCTTCAAAGTCATTCTCTGTCCTACTTTGTTCTGTTGCTGGTGAGGAGGTGTGTTCCTTTGGAGGAGGAGAGGTGCTCTGATTTTTAGAGTTTCCAGTTTTTCTGCTCTGTTTTTTCCCCATCTTTGTGGTTTTTTCTACCTTTGGTCTTTGATGATGGTGACATACAGATGGGGTTTCGGTGTGGATGTCCTTTCTGTTTGTTAGTTTTCCTTCTAACAGTCAGGACCCTCAGCTGCAGGTCTGTTGGAGTTTGCTGGAGGTCCACTCCAGACCCTGTTTGCCTGGGTATCAGCAGCAGAGGCTGCAGACCAGCGGATATTGGTGAACAGCAAATGTTGCTGCCTGATCGTTCCTCTGGAAGTTTTGTCTCAGAGGAGAACCCAGCCATGTGTGTTGTCAGTCTGCCCCTACTGGGGGGTGCCTCCCAATTAGGCTACTCAGGGGTCAGGGACCCACTTGAGGAGGTAGTCTGTCTGTTGTCAGATCTCCAGCTGCCTGCTGGGAGAACCACTACTCTCTTCAAAGCTGTCAGGCAGGGACATTTAAGTCTGCAGAGGATTCTGCTGCCTTTTGTTTGGCTATGCCCTCCCCCCAGAGGTGGATTCTACAGAAGCCAGCAGGCCTCCTTGAGCTGCAGTGGGCTCCACCCAATTCGAGCTTCAAGGTTGCTTTGTTTACCTACTGAAGCCTAGGCAATGGTGGGCACCCCTCCCCCAGCCTCGCTGCCACCTTGCAGTTTGATGTCAGACTGCTGTGCTAGCGATGAGTGAGGCTCCGTGGGCGTGGGACCCTCTGAGCCAGGCGTGGGATATAATCTCCTGGTGTGCCGTTCGCTAAGACCATTGGAAAAGCACAGTATTAGGGTGAGAGTGACCCTATTTTCCAGGTGCTATCTGTCACCTCTTTCTTTGACTAGGAAAGGGAATTTCTTTGACTAGGAATTCCCTGACCCCTTTCACTTCCCAGGTGAGGCAATGCCTCACCCTGCTTTGGCTCATGCTCAGTGCACTGCACCCACTGTCCTGCACCCACTTTCCGACACTCCCAAGTGAGATGAACCCAGTACCACAGTTGGACATGCAGAAATCACCCATCTTCTGCGTCGCTCATGCTGGGAGCTGTAGACTGGAGCTGTTCCTATTTGGCCATCTTGGCTCCACCCCCTCTGTTTACATTATCTTAATGAAATGATAGAAAGACCCTAACAGGGGCTAAAAGAGTACGGACATATAGAGAGGAGAGCAAAGAACAATTTTCACATTGCTGTTCTACCTTCCAGATTCTCCTTCTAAATGTTTATTCTAAGACTGATTTTCAAACAGCTGTCACTAGAGGCAGAAATGTATGATGGAATCTCATATAGGTGTGGACTGAATCTCACCTATGCAACCTACTTACAGTACATTCCTAGGAAAATCATTTAACAAATTTGGATTTATGTTCCCTTACATGTAAAATAAAAGTAGTGACATTTACTTCATAAGCTTGGAAAAGGAAAAATGCAGAGTTATTTGACAATTAAATATGTGAATTGAATTTACTTATATAAAGGGTTCACCCATCTTGTTCTACTTTCTTACTCTAGATCAGGGGAAAAATGTAATAGAATGTAGAATTATAAGTAATTTATTATTGAGAAGATGGTTTGGACACCAAACTGCTGGCCATGCACATGCCTGTGAGGGGAAGTAGGTGCAGGAACTATATTGAAGTCAGGCTATAGTAAAGTAGGACATGTTTCGAAGGAGTTAGCAAACAAGAGGATTAATTGGAGTTTAGAGGGCAAGGTCTGAAAAAGCCAGGTTAAGGTAGCCTCTGAATCAGATGTCTAAGGGTCACTGACTCAGCAAGAGCTTCAGAGACAAGCAGAAAAATACTCTATATATCTCCTTGGGCATGGATTCTCTCCAATAACTTCTAAGAGGCAAACAAAGCTCTTTATTTTCTGAGTTCCATGCTCACTTGATTGTCTTCATTCTCTAAAAATTTCTGATAGCTAACTTCATGGATTTAACACATGTTAAGAAGTTGAGAAAACAATGTAGTTTTTGTTTTTTGTTGTTGTTTTTTCTAAAACTAACTTTTTTTTTGTATCAACAAGAGGGAAAGCAAGCTGGAAACTATCATTCTCAGCAAACTAACAGGAACAGAAAGTCAAACACTGTATGTTCTCACTCATAAGTGGGAGGTGAACAATGAGAACACATAGGCACAGGGAGAGGAACATCACACACCACAGCTTGTCAGGGGGTTGGGGGCAAATGGAGGGAGATCATTAGCACAAATACCTAATGTATGCAGGGTTTAAAACCTAAGTGATGGGTGCAGCAAACCGCCATGGCACATGTATACTTATGCAACAAACCTGCATGTTCTGCCCATGTATTCTGGAACTTAGAGTAAAATAAAAATTAAAATTAAAAAATCCACAACTTAACAGAACTCTTAGCCCTAAGTTAATATTTTCTAATAGTTTTTGGAAGTGTATGTCTGGTATATGGTATATTCTACTTTAATTTTTGCCTAAAGGTGTATCAGTAAAGAATGCAATTTCTTAAATATTAACAATAAATACTTAAAATAAATGTTTAAGAACTTTATAATAATTGATTGTTCATGTAAAACCTAGCCTTTCAGGTGTGCTCATATGTTATAGGTGTGTTTTTTGCAGAATATAATGAAAATACAGCCCTTTTAATGCCTTATTCAATATATTTTTGGTAACTTACTTTTTCCCAAGAAAATGTGTCCATAATTCTACTTCCATTCTCCTTTCATTATAGTTTAGTGCTTGCCCTGCCCCCCTCTCTTAAAGTCACTGCTGTCATCTCTGAAGTGTTAAACGGCACATGTGGATAAACTGTTATTATTTTTTCCATTACATATACATAACAACCAATGTGTAATGGAGGCTGTAATAAGTATTGCCAACATTTCTTCTTGTGCTTATTTTATGTTAAGCGTTGACATTAAAGTAACACATTTGTGCTTAACAAAAGTAGCAAGTATGGGGGCAAGGAGGTGATTTCAGTGAAACTAACACTTGGTAGAAAAAAATGGAAACCAAGAAATATTTATTTAATTATACAAAAAAATGCAAAAGCAATACATTAGCAAGACAGCAACTGTATACTCAACTTAAAATCAGTGTATTGAATGTATAAGAAACATAAAATAGATAAGTTAGACTTGTCCTGGTTAAAAATTAGAAGATAAAAGCAAAGAGACAAGTTAACAGCATTAATAGAAATAGAATATGAAATGCAGAATAAAAGCACCAGAACTAAGATTTTGGCAGATAATAAAATAAAGAAGACTGAGGTGAAAAAGAACTAAATATTGAAGCCAGTGATCAAATAAAAAGTGTTAAGCTTTAAAAGAAAAAAGGAATGCTAAAAATAACAAACAGGCACATACCACCATCACCATCTGTTCTATTTCCAGGGTACCAGTTCACATATATCACATAAAGTGACTTCTTTAATTTGCACAGCAGCCTTTGAAATTAGATACTTTTTAATTCCCATTTTACAGTTGAGGAGACAGAGGCACTGGGAGGCTGAGTAACTTGACTATGATCACCAAACTAGTAAGGGAATTTATAAATTGGATCTAGTTGTTGGAGGAAGAATTTGACATCAACTTTAGCCATGCCAAATTTGGAGTCCTGGAGGTCCTTCAGGTGGACATGTGATAATTCAGTCCAACACCTTGGAGAGAGAGAGAGTCTAGGAAAAGAAATGATTTTCCATTTTCACTATATTTGGAATTAAGGGGCAGACTGAAGAGAGAAAAGCAGAAGAGATTTAGCAAGGGGGAGTAGGAAGGTCAACCTTAGAAAGAAACCCAGGAAGATGCCTAGGACACAACTCAGAAGAATGGTACAAAATACAAGTTCCTGCAAAAGTTATTAAATAATACTGAATGGTTAAAGGCATTAACTGCAAAAGAACCAATAGATTCTGCAGAGAACCTAGGATGAGAAGTAAGGATGCAAAGTATATTACAAGGAGGTTAAAATGAATGTGTGACAAATAAGTTCTCCTGTGGGCATAGACTTAATATATTAAGGTTTTTAAGGTCATGACACAGATTAGATGTGTTATGAATCAATGTTTGTGTTCCCCCAAATTCATATATTGAATCCCTAACATCCAAAGCAATGGTATTGGAAGGTGAGATTGTTAAAAGGCAATTAGGTTGCAATGAGATCATGAAGGTCGATCATCCATGATGGAATTTATGCTTTTAGAAACAGAAGAGACACAAGAGTTTTCTCCCTCTGTCATGCGAGAATATGGTGAAAAGAAAATGGCCTTCTGCAAGCCAGAAGATGACCCTCAGCAAGAATTGAATCTGCCAGCACCTTGATCTTAAACTTTTCAGCCTCTGAAACTGTGAGAAACAAATGTCTGTTGTTTAAGCCACCAGTATATCATATTTTATTAAAGCAACTTGAGCTACTAACAAAGAATGGTAAGTTAGGAAGATTGCTGGGTTGACTTAGACATTTGGGAATGGAAGAAATCAGAAAATATTTTGGGACTAACAGCAAAGAAGCAGTCATTATGAAGAGCTGGAAATCAAGAGCTATAAATGGGATTATTAAAAGGTCAGAATTTGAGAGAAACCTTAATGAGATGCCACCAGAAGCAGAGATCCTGAGCCTAATGTTAGAAAAAATATTTTTCAAACACTGTGCAAAGTATACTATATATGCGTTCTTATTTAAAACATTTGTGTGAGGTAGTTTTTTTAATCTTTATTTGGGAGGTGAAAAACGTGATCTCAGAACTGATCACTGAAGGTGAGAACACAAACCAATATACAAGGAATTACCATTAGATGATGAACAGAAGCAGTAGAACAAACATCTAGGTCAGCCTACAAAGATCAAGAAATATTTCTTGGATTTTAAGCTAAATATTGAAAAGGAGAAATAGAATACTAGAGGTAGAAAATGGAGAATGAAGATGATTAATATCTGAGAGAGCCACATGTGAAAAGTCTCAGGTTCAAGAGAGATCACGACCTATGGGGAAGAGTTCAGGGAGCTCAGAAAACAACACAAAGTGTGGTTCTGACGTGACAGAAAATGGACAGAAGCCATGTTGCAAATGATTTTGTATGCCATGCTAAAGATTTTATTGTCTGGATTTTACTCCATGACAATACAAATAATTGTAATTGCAATCTAAAGACTATTCTGTCTATAACATGAAGACTACATGTAGAGGAAAATAAACTTTGAGGCAGGGAGAACATTCAGGAGGCTTTTGAAGTCATCTAGGTGAGAGACAAATAAAGCCTGCAACAAAGCAGCAGAAGTAGGGGTGGAGAGAAGGTAAAAGATTGGCCAGATATTAAAGAACAAACATTAAGAAATTTAGTATCTGATTAATAAAGATAGAGTGAAAGGTGTCACTATTCATTCAGAGACAATACAAGAGGTAGAATCAGTTTGGGGCAGCATAAATGAGTTTGATTTAGGACATATTGAGTGTGAAATATTTCTTTATATAGAATAGCATAGATTTCCATTGGGAAACTAAAAACACAAAGCTGCAGCTGAAAGCTAGAGAATTAAAAGTTAAGAGTTTACCTCTCTACAACATAGAGGTTTAATGTAATCAGTACACGGATGCTGTCTTAATCCATTTAGTCTGTTACAACAGCATAACATAAATTTGGTGGCTTATAAATAGCATACATTTATTTCTCACGGTTCTGTGAGCTGCAAAGTCCAAGAACAAGGTGCTCACAGAGTTAGTGTGTGGTGAAGACTCACTTCCTAATTCACAAGATGGACTTTTTTCACTGTATCCTCATGTCGTGGAAGGTGAGAACTTATATTTAGCCCTTTATACAAGCACTAATTCTATTATGAGGGCACCACCTTCATGACCTAATCAGTTCCCAAAGGCTTCACCTTCTAATACCATCACAGCAAATGAACTTTCAACACATAAATTTTTATGGGAACACAAAATATCACATTCTCAGTCCATATCAGAGCCTCATTGAAATGACTAAATTAGATGAAATTCACCAGGAAGTAGTAAAATGAGAAGAAGAATTTGGCAGAAATGAGACTTCCTTTGAATCAGAAGGGGCTGGGGCAGATAGTAAGTAAGTAGTAAGCATGGTGGTTCTAATTATTTTTAATCTCTGTAAACGGAAATAATGCAATTCCAGAAAGTGAAATCATGTTTCTAAGGTTAGGATTCCCTAGTATTCTACCTAGAATAGTGCTATACGCAGAGTGGGTGCTAGAGTTGCCATGGTTTCAAAAACAATGTAGACTGGTAAATTTTGTGCTTATCTTCAAGGCTGGTTTAAGTATAAAATTGTTTTTTAAAACACTTGAAAAATTAAGGGATTTGTTATATATAAATATATAATTATCATCAGTATATAAATATATATAATTATGTATATTATATATACTATATGCAGTATATAATATATATAATTAATGTGTATATATATATATTTCTTTATGGGCTTCTGATCCACTTCAAGTTTATATATATATATATATAAAACAAATAACTATCTCATATATATATATATACATATATATAAACTTGAAATGAAGTGGATCAGAAGCCCATAAGGAAGACTAAAAGAGAGGCCAGAAAAATTGGAAGGAAAAAACTAAAGCAGTATTCTTTCACAGAACACAAGTGTAGAACAATTCAAGACTATTTAAGGATGTTACTGAGTTAAAATAAAACTCCCCACACCTATGTATGCATACCCACCTACTGTACAGAGGATGCTGGGGGAAGAAATGTCTTCCTGGATCATCCACTGATAATCCAACAATTGAGAGGAAATAATGGTATCTTATATATAAAATTTCAATCAAAATCAAGTATTCAAAAAAGTTTTTCTCTTACAACAGGACTTTTTAACCTACATCTGAACAGGAACAGTAATGTGATGCATGTGTACATATCTACATTATTAGAAAAGTTTGTCAAGTATTGTAAGATAAAGACCATGAAATTTAGAACCACAGATGTCTTTGGTGACTGTGATGAGTGAGGTGGTCCTGTGGAGTGGTGTGTAGGTCTGTCTTCAACCACTGAATTCAGGAGTGACAGAAGATGATCGTGTTTGTACAGCAACTGAGAGTGAAAATAAATTATCCAAAGGTTTAGATGGCAGCATGAGGTGGGGAAAGAAGGAGCCAAAAGAGGAAATTTGGGGAAAGGTTTTGATTGTTCAATGAAAGATAAGAAAAAGGAAAAGAGATTGATAAAGGTTGCTATAGAGTGATCTTAAAATACAAAGGAAATGAAGAAATCTCTCATCAAAGAACTTCAACCTTTTCAGGAAAATAAGAAAAGAAATCTGTAGAGAATGAGAAAGGCAGGGTTGGTTTTAAAGGAATTTTGAAAAAAATTATCTATTTCATACAAAATTTAGGTAACTATGCAAATAGTTTACCAAATATTTGAGGAGGTTTAATTCCTCAGTTAGAATTCTGTCAAATTATAAGTTCTAAATGTAAAATTGATTGCCTATGAGCTTCATTTCAAAGTGTAGTTCTAAAACAATAACTGATTATAATATCATTTTTGGTCATATCCGAATTATCTAATAATAAACCTGCATTAAGTATGGTTACAAGTATAGAGTTAAGTCAATTCCATCTTATGCTTTTACTACAAGGATAGTTATATAATTCATTGACTTTAATTTCTTCAAAATCATTAATATATGTTATAACTACATATGACACATCTGAAATGCATTAAAAGGTTTTCTTTTAGCTATTGCTTTCTGATACATTTTATTACAGAAATTGGTAAGACACAAAAGAACCCTTTATCCTTTAAAGGCCTAGTTTATATTTTATAGCATTGTTTACTAAATGTTCGATGTCTATTCTAGCCATAACACAGATGTCCTTTGAAACAAAAGCTGTTTTTAAACTTTATGTACCTGTTTGATAACTGGCATACAAATTACCAGAAGTTTTATTCAGAAAAACAAGGCATTGTATATCTCAAATTGGACGAAAGGAATTTGAGATTTTTTTGTATAGTATAGTGTATTTAAACCATACTGTGATAAGAGTCTATATGTTGCTCATTTAATTGGTGTATTAAATCAGTGTCCATCCCTAAATTATAAATTAAATTTAAAAAGTAAAGGAAAAATCATTATTTATTGACACATAGAGAAGAAAAAAATATCTTGGTTAATATTGTTTCAATTAATTTACTCTTGATCCGTCAACATCCTCCCCACTCAGGTTTCAAACTATCATTACAATTTTCTTCCTTTCTCATTTAATAAATTGTCCCCAATTAGTTCTCTGTTACAATTTAGGGTAATTAATTATTTTCCTGGTTTCAATTATGGGTATCTTTTCAAGTTGTTTTTCTTATAATTTTTATTCAATATTCCCTAGAGGACATGTACACCAATACTCTAACTCTCGCTTTGTTGACTATCTCACTGACTGAATATATTTTTTAAAAAATTTGAAATCCAAAGCACTAGTTTCTTCATGTAATTCCCAAGCAATGTAATTGCCTTTCATTCCGAAAATAAAATATCTATGAGCTATTCTTTTGGAAGGTACCTGTATAAGGATAAATAAGTGAATGACTAAAATTTTACTCTGTAAAGACAAAAATAAACCTATGTAGTTTTATTAACTGACATTATACATTCAATTTGTTCATCTTTAATTTTAATGTAAAAGGATCAGTATAGTATGTTCATATATAATCAAGGTTTGAAACATGTGGTTGAAACTACTGGTTGAAATTTGAAAACACCATGAAAACAAGCACAAAATCTAAGAACAGGGCAAATACATAATCTTGCTTTATTGAAAGCCTAGATAATCACATTCAGGCTCAGATGGTTCATATCTTAATGTTTATAATTTGAAATTTTAATTTTCAGTAATGACAGAACTTGTCTTGGGGTTCTAATTTAGCTGATATCAAGATATGACCCTGGTTATCAATTTTCATCTTGGTCATTTGTTATCTGTAATTAAACCCATCCAGGGCATTTTTTGGCAAGTGCATGAATGCCTCATGGGAATCATGTATTTGGCATTCTAAATCTACATTTCATATTACTTATGTAATTTAATCCATGCTATTGAACCTTCCTAAGTCTGTTTATTCATCTTTAGAATGATACAGATACCAATAATGCAAGAGAAGCCCACCCTAAGAAAAAATTTATAAATTATTAAGTCAAAGAACGTCCAAATCTACCTAAACTATACTTGCTTACTTTCTAAATTTTAATCAGAATTCCTAAACAGACTAACACACACAGAAGAAAATGTTTTAAACAAATTACTCTTATTGAGTAACTTGGCAGATGAAAGTAACTGGCATTTGAAATTTATAAAGAGTAGTTTTAGAAATAAATTATTACCTTGTATACTACATTATAAGTTAGTATACATTCTATGCCTTTCTTTATTTATCAATTCATTTATGAACACTTGCTATGTACAAGACCTTGTGCTAGATTCACAGTTGAAGAAAATATGGTCTCAACCCTTATAGCGTTGACCTTATATAATCAATTTTACCAACAGTAGACAATGTAATAAAATTGAGTTTCTGAGCTTACAAAGCAAGATTTCAGTCACTGAATTCTTGCTCACTTGTGTGGGCAAATCTGAAAATCAGTAAACCAATTTAACATTCATATTTAATTACCACATTCTGTGATATGGACATATATCCTAAGGAAGAGTAAATATGAAATTATTTGGCAGAAAAGTATAATAAATCATAAATATTACAATATGAAATAGAGTTTACACTGAATTACATGTCTATAAATATCCTTAAGAGTTCCAGGTATTTCTTTGGGAAAAAGAAAAAAACTGAAATTTGTTATTTTTGTTAGTGTTTCTGAGATTTCAACAGTGACATTGTTTCTTTCTTTATAACATAAAAATCATACAAATGTCTGTTGCCTTAAAACAGAAACTCGAATACAAATAAATATTACTATAACTCACAGGGTAAGTATTCTATGTCTCTAGATTTCATTACAATATGACCTTAATTTTGCTTTTATCTCCCATTAGTATAATAAAAACATTCTCTTTAAAGTCTTCAGGAGTTTTCTATTCAAGTGGTCTTTTTCAAGCTTCATTCATTAAACCTCTCTATACTAATTTCCTTCTTTTTTAAAGATCCCCCTTCCTTAACCTACACATTTCTGCCTTACTTGAAATCACTTTTGATCATTCAGATTAAATTGTTTGTGTTTGTTTCTCCTCTGCTTGCTTTCAGAAAGCACCTGTTCCTCAAGGGCTCCACACCAAACTGCTTCTCTTTTAGTACTCATCCCTTTGACAATTTTATCCTTGACTGTGGATTCCATCTTGATGACTCATATAACAATTTTGATGACTCATATAACAATTTACCTCTCCCAAGTTCAAAATACCAGTCTTAAATATCAGGAGAAGGCTGGGCATTTCCCTCTGAGGTGTTCCCTGTCCTGTCAACATCCAAGTCAGAGTAGTGAATACAGTTGTAATGTAGGAGCCAGAAATTTAAAGTCTGTTATTAGCTGAGGGATGGTGAGTAAGTCACTTATCTTCTTAGCTTTTATGCACTCCGATACATTGAGACAATGATCTTTCCTTGATATTATTATCCTAGGCCCAGGAAAAGACACGAAAATACTCAGAAAAAAAAATGCAAATCACTGTTTAAATATGGAGTCCCAAATCCTGTTATTTTCTAACCCAAACTCTCTCCTACTTCTCACCTTTTCCCCCCAAAACCATTCCTTTTTTTTGTTCCCCACAAATAACGATCTATTAAATCCTTCTAATCATTCATGTACTATCAACTTCCTATTTTTCTCTGATATTTCCCCAGTCTAAGACAGATTCTTATTAACTTTGACTTGAGTAATCATCTCCTAAATTGCCTCTCAGCCTCCAGCCTCTCTCCATTCTCTTTCATTCATAGGCTAACCCAATTTTAATCTTAAAGGACAATTATGATCATGTTACTCCTGTGTCTGAAAATGTTCAATAGCTTTCAATTGCCCAGCAAGGTAAGTGTCACTTCTCAGCCTGGCATTTAAGGCCCATCACAAGAATGTTCCAAACTATGCCCTCCAGGCTTATTTCCCTCACTTGAAAGCACAGCTTTTCTTTTCCAATCAAACTAGAGCAGGGAGATTTCACTTTATGGCTCTTTTCTCACGCTTTTCACCATGGCACTTACAATTCATTGTATCCCTATCCAGCCATATCTAGTCCAATTGTACTTATAATTACTTTATTAATCCCTTTTTAATGTCCCACTTGAAAATCATGCTATAAAAGGGCAGCCATTAAAGTGCTGGGACATTTTACTAGGTGCTATAAGTGCACTGCATAATTTAATCCAGGGTAAACCAGGTATTATCACCTCATTTTACAGATGTGAATACTGAGGATTAAGAAAGTTATGTAATTGGCTCACTCATCTAGAAAATAAAAGTGAAGATTGTAATCCAGCCATGTCAGGCTTCAAAGGTGATGGCCTTTCCTTTAAAGCAGTTGTTTTCAATCTGTTTAACAGACTTGAAAGTAACAGGAGGTAATTTAGTGCACAAAAGATAGAAAGAAGTGAAATATACAGGTTGTAAAATCCACTGCTCTGGCTTCAAAGAGAAGATTTTCTCTAAAAGAGAGGAGTGTAAAAGAAGAAAATATATTTTGGGGAAACATTTTTGAAAAAACATTTTTGAAACTCTCTCATATGATCTATTCATTTTGCAAACACTTTTTTTATGGTTCTTGGTATGTTAAAACACTATTTTATAGCAACTGTTAGCCATTGTTATTTATTAGAGTGGAAGCATTGAAAATAATTAATAGCCCCTTAACCCATTTTTGTGTTTTCATTTACTGGAAACCCAAATATTTGTTAAGTGTATAAATGAATTTACCTTTGCAATAGGAATTGCAATTTCTTTGCCTGAAGAATGGTGAAATGAGAATTTTCTTTTTTTTTTTTTTGACTTCTTTTTTTTATTTATTTATTATACTTTAAGTTCTAGGGTACACGTGCACAACGTGCAGGTTAGTTACATATGTATACATGTGCCATGTTGGTGTGCTGCACCCATTAACTCATCATTTAACATTAGGTATACCTCCTAATACTATCCCTCCCCCCTCCCCCCACCCCACAACAGGCCCCGGTGTGTGATGTTCCCCTTCCTGTGTCCATGTGTTCTCATTGTTCTTAAATAAGTTAGAAGAGAGTACCTGTATCCTGGATCTTTTGAACTTCTGTGAAGTAATGTGACAATACAGATACTTACTGATCTGATTCGGGATGTTCCTGAGAAAACAGGTAAGTTTTCATTTATTTGTATATTTCTAAAGCCCAGTCCAATATTTAGTTCATGGAGGCTCTCCCAGTGTTGTTTTTGGATTTAACTACTCATATCGTTATAAAGAGCAATACTTTTAAAATTGAAAAGTTATTGAAACCATATAGTAAAAATTATTATTACATATTTTTCAAAGTTTATATTTCTATTCTACATTTAATATGATAAAATCATTCAAAAATAACTCTTATCCTCCAGTATTCCCATAAACATGGTGAGTCATTTCAATAGGCTATGCCTCATATAGAACGTTTTAAATAAACTTGAGAATCAATTATAAGGAAATGGATGTTTTGCTGCTGTTGGCAATAGTCAAAAAGAGAGCATAGTTTCTATGACAATGCTGATCTAATTAAGAGCATCTGTGCATTAAAAAGGTGTGTCCTAAAATGATTTATGATAAAATATGCAGAAAGAATGAATTTAAAAACACTATTATCTCCTCTCTACTGAGGCTGTGAAGGTTTTCCTCAGTTTGGTTTATAAATAACATTACATAATGGGAAAATACTTTTGCCTTCCAATATACGGTATGCAATGTTGATAATAAATATGTTTTAAATTTAACAGAAAGAGATATATACTGAGTTATCCAAGAAAATCTAAGAGCATAAACTAATGCTGTGGAAAGAATAGTGAAATATGAAATTTTGGGGGATGAGGTAGGGAATCCACACTAAACAATTAAGTTAAAAAAGTTTTCAAATAGCAAACTTAAAAATA
Organism: Homo sapiens; assembly: GCF_000001405.40. Classification (NCBI taxonomy): domain Eukaryota; kingdom Metazoa; phylum Chordata; class Mammalia; order Primates; family Hominidae; genus Homo; species Homo sapiens. Next base: position 86,027,120 of record NC_000003.12, on the reverse strand, counting down.
AATGATGATGAACCCTGTTACTAGAATTGTTAATTCATTCTCTCTTTTTTCAGAGCAAAAATAATTTTATTCTTCCTTCTGAATTGTCTTTTTTTCTTGAGTATTATAAATCTAATATCCTTTTGAAAATAATCAAAGTCCATTTTCTCCTTTTGAAAGGCATTCTCACTGTTTACAGACTGTAATACAAGGTTCTTGCCTAACCAAGTTAACCATAAGAATGCATATATTTGAACCAATATATTTTATTTTGAAATCTTAATTTTTATGTCTACACCAATTCATGAAGTATTCAGTATTTTCCAGGAACTGGGGATAAAGTAATCATCTCACAGTCTAGTGGCAGATCTGATAGACCAAGAGCAATCACACCAACACGGAGTGGTTACGTGCTATAATTCTCCTCTTGTATCAAGTACAATGAGCACATACAACATGAGAATGAAAGAGGCATTTCAGAGGATCTTAAAAGTTCATGAGGTTTTGAAGGATGAATAGGCGTCAGTTGGCAAGGTAGAGAAAGACATACCTGATAGTAGCATTTAACAAAGCATAGTATGACCAGTAAATTGAAAACAAACAAAATCATTGGAGAGTGATATTAGCTGGAGTTGTAAAATACCTTAATTTCTATAGTGCTTTCTTGCTTAAACATGGTTTCATCTACCAATGCTACAAAAAATCCATGATACAGGATGTGAGTATAATTATATCTAATTTATCAAACTCAGTGTAAATTGTGACTTAAAGTCATAAGGCCAAAAAAAAACCAAAAAAAAAATGGCATAGTTGGGGCTAAAACTTCGAGTTTCCTGACTCACACTGACACTCTCTCCACAACAGAGTTCTCCCCTAGTACCATCTTTCCATGTTTTAAATTTAAACACAGTTAAATGTAACAAAATACCTGAATTTGAATCGCATTTTTCCCAAGTTGTGAGACTTTGAAACTATTATCTAACTTCTTGAAAACTGTTTCTAATTCCACACAATGAAGAGCATCCCCCAACTTAAAACTGTGCAAAACAGCACATTCCCTAGTACACAATAAACATTAAATTAATATAGCTGTTCTTATTTATCAGTATTAATATATTTATTTTCATATAAGCATATAAATAATAAGCTTAAGCATATTATTCAAAGAGAGCCAATTATTCTCTTTTGGACTGCTGTAAAACATTTTCAAGATTCCTTTGAGCCACATTATATTACTTTCACCTGTTTAAATTGACTCTTCCTTCTATTATTAGCCTTTAAATTCCTCAGGAACAAGTAAGTATTTTTTTCTGTACTCCTGATGTTTAGTTCCAGATTATTACAAAGTTAAGATAAAATAAATTTCAGAGGAATAAACAAATACTTATTGTAAAATGATTGTGCAATAAAAGTCATATTTGTTACATTTAATTTTTAAATTTACATAATAAATTACTCTATGAATTTATAATCTAATATCTGCCTACCTTCTCCTAATAAGCAGCTTATCTCACTATACGCCACCTTATCCCAAGGTCTGCCAAGTGTAATAAAAATTTATTTTATCTTAACTTCACCAACGAAGGAAGTGTCTGCCAGATGAAGATGTGAATGAAAGACATGGAATAATCATTTGTATAAAGATTTAAAAAAATAAGAACACTTTAAACTGTATGTGACTACAAGCTTGGAATTAACAAAAAAAAAAGTCCTTAGAAGATATTTACTTTGTTCATAGCCTTATAACAAAAGAGTATTTTCAAAAAACTATTTTGCCAAATAATGGGCTGCGCACAGTTGCTCATGCCTGTAATCCCTGCACTTTGGGAGGCCGAGGCGGGCAGATCACCTCAGGTCAGGAGTTTGAGACCAGCCTGGCCAACATGGTGAAACCCTGGCTCTACTAAAACTACAAAAAATTAGGCTGGCGTGGTGGCGGGCGCCTGTAGTCCCAGCTACTCAGGAGGCTGAGGCAGGAGAATCACTTGAACTCAGGAGACAGAGGTTTCGGTGAGCTGAGATCATGCCACTACACTCTGGCCTGGGCGACAGAGAGAGACTCCGTCTCCAAAACAAAACAAAACAAAAAAAAACAACTAGTCAGGCATAGTGGTGCATGCCTGTAATCCCAGCTACTCAGAAGGCCAAGGCATGAGAATCGCTTGAGCCTGGGAGGTGGAAGGTGCAATGAGCCAAGATTGCACCACTGCACTCCAGGGCGACAGAGTGAGACTCTGTCTCAAGAAAGAAAAAATATATATTATAATAATAATAATAATGTAAAGATACATGTGTAAGATCCTAGTGGAGCTTAATAATCTATACTACTATTAAGAAAACTGACACTAATAGAGCATCCTTCATTTTTATTCGGTCTTCAACATATGTAGTCAATTTTGCAAGACCTTGGAAATCATCTTAAATATGCTTGATGGCAGAAATATTTCCAAAGGCCCACAATGTGATAAAAGTTTTGCTGGTATCTGGTAAAGCCAAATTTGTTTTTATTGTTTTTATAGATGTATCATTTACAGAACATGCATAATTGTGGATTCAATGTATTAATGGCAGAGCATTACATATATAATTGCTCCAAATTACTAACAACATACTAATTTGAGCAGACCTCAGGCCTGAGATAATTTCAACTTGTACCTGAAGATGTGATATGTTAATACTCCATAAAGTATCTCTTGGTAGAAATACAATTGTCTTTCATTTTATTTACTGCTCGCTTTGAAAATTCTAATGTATAACTCAGCAATAGAGATTCTCGCTTACTTGTGCTCTAAGTGAGAACAAGTAAAAAATTATAAGTTTCAGAATATGAATATGCATACATTGAAATGATAAAATTAGATACCTGATCTGTCCCTTGCCAATGAAAGGTAGGTCAGAACTTGTGTAATATGGCTTAGGCCTGTTAAAGGGGTCAGCCTACTATGGTGGGGTCAAATAGGCAATGTAAAGGAGGCATTGCTTTCCAATGGCTACATCTCACTGAAGCTATTTGGGGGAAGGAAGATCTTAAGGTGAACACTGTCATATTTGCATATTAATGCGATTCAGTTGATCAAATTGTAAATATTTCTTTGGCAAGCTTGAAATAGAACTCTGGGTGAATGGGGAAAGTCAACGTAAATTTTGATTGAAATGGGAGCATGGACAGAATGTGAAAGTGCTTAATAAATTTACTTCCAGTAATTCAAGATTCAGTGGGAAATAGAAACAAGGAGCTAAATCAAACCTTGAATTCTTCAGAATTTTTCTTAATACTGATCCATGTCAGAGTGATGAAGTGAAGATTGGGGCTGAAGTTAAGACAGAGTTGGCAGTCTAAAAAGAAGCTATTTCCAGGTAAACAGTGTCATCTGCAGTGAGAAATAGAACTTCAAAAGAACCACAGCCATGGAAGATAGGTGTTGCATTTGTTTTAAGAGTAAGGCAAAGACGTATCCTTCTCCCAAAGGTTAAAAAAGAGCTAGGCTGGGTGTGGCGGCTCACACCTGTAATCCCAGGACTTTGGGAGGCCGAGGCGGGCAGATCACCTGAGGTCAGGAGTTTGAGACCAACCTCACCAACATGGAGAAACCCCGTCTCTACTAAAAATACAAAATTAGCTGGGTGTGGTGGTGCATGCCTGGAATCCCAGGCACTCAGGAGGCCAAGACAGGAAAATTGCTTGAACCCGGGAGGTGGAGGTTGCAGTGAGCCATGGGCAACAAGAGCAAAACTCTGTCTCAAAAAAACAAAACAAAACAAAACAAAACAAACAAACAAACAAACAAAAAACCTCATTCTGGAGAACTGTTTTTGAATTGTGAATTTTTCTAAGGTGAGAATCTGTAAGAGAACTGACCAGAGGATAAGTAATGTAATTTACAGGGCAGTGTGTACAAACTTACTTGTGTTACATTTGTTTATACGTATTGGAATTTGAAAGAAAAAATTTTCTCAATATCTGCTAGTATTGTTTTCAATGTGTGTAGCACATTGCATTTTTGATATTTGCTTTTTCCTCCCTTTTTATACTATTTGCCATGCCACACAAACTGGGAAAAGGGGGACTGGGTAAAATGAAGTAAAAAATGCTAGAACCCTGAAGATCTCAACCAGAGAAATAATTTTCTTTTTTTTGCTATATATTTTATTTTTTGAAGTATAGACTCAGTGGGCAGGTATATGAAAAGATGCCTATATATGGATGTTTTAGTGTTACTAAAAAAGTAGCAATAGAATGTCCATATTATGTTTGATTCTGCAAACGTTTATGCATATGCATATTTTCTGTGAAAAGTAAGCCAAAATGACATGGAAGCTGAATTAAATGAGGGCAAGGAATAACTGAGGCCTGAAGTTATTTTAAATCATATTATTATTGAATAACCTAGGTTAAATTTGCTAAATAACTATTTGTAGTTCAGAAAATGAGGACGCTCTCTAAGTGCATGTGTGTGTATGTGTATTTATAATAAAAAAGCTAAAATGGCTATTATGCATATTTTTAAAGGTATCAGTTTTTACTCAAACTGTAGAAACAGGTCATCATTTACAGTTTTGACAAAAGCAAGGTTATAATGATAAAAAGACAAAATAATTGAATATTACAAACAAGTTTAAGCTTTTGTGTCAATGTTAATGCTATCTAATTGTCAAGTTTTTCAGACATTGATCCATTCTCAAGAAGTCCTCTAAAGTTTGAGTCATTACAAAATAAGTTTGAAAGAGAAGGAGAGAGATAGAATGCACTATTAAACTATTACAAAGGCTAATGGTGGGAGACATGGAAACTGAATTAAATGAGAACAAGGAATAACTGAGGCTTATAGTTATTTAAAATCATGTTATTATTGAATCACCTAGGTTACATTTACTAAAGAACCATCTGTAGTTCAGAAAATGAGAACATTCTCTAAGTGCATGCTTGTGTGTATGTGTATTTATAATTAAAAAGCTAAAATGACAATTATGTGTATTTGTAAAGATTCATTCTCTCAAAAATAATCCAATATATTTTCATAAAAATTATATTTTGTATAATTAAGGTATACAACATGATATTATAAGGTGCATATAGACAGTAAAAATGCATATAGATAGTACTGTGAGCAAATGAACACTTTGCATTATTTCAGTTACCTTTTTTTGAGTGTGTGGCAAAAGCAGCTAAAATCTACTCATTTAGCATGAATCCCATATACATTACAGGTATATTGCCTATAGTTCTCATGTTGTGTATTAGATCTCTAGACTTGCTCTTCCTGTATATCTGCTACTTTATCTCTTGACTTATATCTTTCCATTTCTTTCCCTATCCCCTGCCACTGATAACTGCTGTTTTGTTCTCTATCTTTGTATAGTTGAATACTTTTTAAAACTCCACATAGAAGTGAGATCATTTTGTGGTACATATATGCAATCAAATATTATTTAACCCTCACAAAGAATAGGATCTTGCCATTTGCTCCAACATGGATGAGCCTGGAGGACAATAAACTTAACAGAAAGAATAATCCAATATTTTTAAGTGAGAAATTTTTACAGTGAGTAGCACATCATTTACTTGAAACCATACATTAAGCTAAATGGGATCTTTATTGATCCAATAAAGATATTTTTCACAGACTTTTTGTAGATATGAGAAATGATGAGATAATCTGTTAAAAATTATTATTAGAGACTACTTAAGCCATGTCTACACTAATGAATTTCTATCTTAAGCTAAGGTACATCACTGATATAGGACAGAAGGAAATATATTCCTCCGGGAAGCAACATAATTAAATGGCATTAAAGGGTTTGAAAGGGGAATTGAAGTGGATGGATACAAAAAAGCAGTTTTGGCCAGGTGCGGTGACTCACACTTGAAATCCCAGCACTTTGGGAGGCTGAGGCAGGCAAATCACTTGAGGTCAGGAGTTCGAGACCAGCCTGGCCAACATGGCAAAACCTCATCTCTACTAAAAATACAAAAATTAGCTGGGCGTGGTGGTGGATGCCTGTAATTCCAGCTACTTAGGAGGCTGAGGCATGAGAATCACTTAAACCTGGGAGGCGGAGGTTGCAGTGAGCCGAGATCTCGTCACCGCACTCCAGCCTGTGTGACCTGGGTGACAGAATAAGACTCTGTCTCAAAAGAAAAAAAGTTTTTGCCCTGGCCAGAACTTCCAACACTATGTTGAATAGGAGTGGTGAGAGAAGGCATCCCTGTCTTGTGCCAGTTTTCAAAGGGAATGCTTCCAGTTTTTGCCCATTCAGTATGATATTGGCTGTGGGTTTGTCATAGATAGCTCTTATTATTTTGAAATACGTCCCATCAATACCTAATTTATTGAGAGATTTTAGCATGAAGAGTTGTTGAATTTTGTCAAAGGCTTTTTCTGCATCTATTGAAATAATCATGTGGCTTTTGTCTTTGGCTCTGTTTATATGCTGGATTACATTTATTGATTTGCGTATATTGAACCAGCCTTGCATCCCAGGGATGAAGCCCACTTGATAATGGTGGATAAGCTTTTTGATGTGCTGCTGGATTCGTTTTGCCAGTATTTTATTGAGGATTTTTGCATCAATGTTCATCAAGGATATTGGTCTAAAATTCTCTTTTTTTGTTGTGTCTCTGCCTGGCTTTGGTATCAGAATGATGCTGGCCTCATAAAATGAGTTAGGGAGGATTCCCTCTTTTTCTATTGATTGGAGTAGTTTCAGAAGGAATGGTACCAGTTCCTCCTTGTACCTCTGGTAGAATTCGGCTGTGAATCCTTCTGGTCCTGGACTCTTTTTGGTTGGTAAGCTATTGATTATTGCCACAATTTCAGCTCCTGTTATTGGTCTATTCAGAGATTCAACTTCTTCCTGGTTTAGTCTTGGGAGAGTGTATGTGTCGAGGAATTTATCCATTTCTTCTAGATTTTCTAGTTTATTTGCCTAGAGGTGTTTGTAGTATTCTCTGATGGTAGTTTGTATTTCTGTGGGATCGGTGGTGACATCCCCTTTATCATTTTTTATTGCATCTATTTGATTCTTCTCTCTTTTTTTCTTTATTAGTCTTGCTAGCGGTCCATCAATTTTGTTGATCCTTTCAAAAAACCAGCTCCTGGATTAATTTTTTGAAGGGTTTTTTGTGTCTCTATTTCCTTCAGTTCTGTTCTGATTTTAGTTATTTCTTGCCTTCTGCTAGCTTTTGAATGTGTTTGCTCTTGCTTTTCTAGTTCTTTTAATTGTGATGTTAGGGTGTCAATTTTGGCCAGGGCAATTAGGCAGGAGAAGGAAATAAAGGGTATTCAATTAGGAGAAGAGGAAGTCAAATTGTCCCTGTTTGCAGACGACATGATTGTATATCTAGAAAACCCCATTGTCTCAGCCCAAAATCTCCTTAAGCTGATAAGCAACTTCAGCAAAATCTCAGGATACAAAATCAATGTACAAAAATCACAAGCTTTCTTATACACCAACAACAGACAAACAGAGAGCCAAATCATGAGTAAACTCCCATTCACAATTGCTTCAAAGAGAATAAAATACCTAGGAATCCAACTTACAAGGGATGTGAAGGACCTCTTCAAGGAGAACTACAAACCACTGCTCAAGGAAATAAAAGAGGATACAAACAAATGGAAGAACATTCCATGCTCATGGGTAGGAAGAATCAATATCGTGAAAATGGCCATACTGCCCAAGATAATTTACAGATTCAATGCCATCCCCATCAAGCTACCAATGCCTTTCTTCACAGAATTGGAAAAAACTACTTTAAAGTTCATATGGAACCAAAAAAGAGCCCGCATCACCAAGTCAATCCTAAGCCAAAAGAACAAAGCTGGAGGCATCACGCTACCTGACTTCAAACTATACTACAAGGCTACAGTAACCAAAACAGCATGGTACTGGTACCAAAACAGAGATATAGATCAATGGAACAGAACAGAGCCCTCAGAAATAACGCCTCATATCTACAACTATCTGATCTTTGACAAACCTGAGAAAAACAAGCAATGGGGAAAGGATTCCCTATTTAATAAATGGTGCTGGGAAAACTGGCTAGCCATATGTAGAAAGCTGAAACTGGATCCCTTCCTTACACCTTATACAAAAATCAATTCAAGATGGATTAAAGACTTAAACGTTAGACCTAAAACCATAAAAACCCTAGAAGAAAACCTAGGCATTACCATTCAGGACATAGGCATGGGCAAGGACTTCATGTCTAAAACACCAAAAGCAATGGCAACAAAAGACAAAATTGACAAATGTGATCTAATTAAACTAAAGAGCTTCTGCACAGCAAAAGAAACTACCATCAGAGTGAACAGGCAACCTACAAAATGGGAGAAAATTTTCACAACCTACTCATCTGACAAAGGGCTAATATCCAGAATCTACAATGAACTCAAACAAATTTACAAGAATAAACCAAACAACCCCATCAAAAAGTGGGCGAAGGACATGAACAGACACTTCTCAAAAGAAGACATTTATGCAGCCAAAAAACACATGAAAAAATGCTCACCATCACTGGCCATCAAGAAATGCAAATCAAAACCGCAATGCAATGCCATCTCACACCAGTTAGAATGGCAATCATTAAAAAGTCAGGAAACAACAGGTGCTAGAGAGGATGTGGAGAAATATGAACACTTTTACACTGTTGGTGGGACTGTAAACTAGTTAAACCATTGTGGAAGTCAGTGTGGCGATTCCTCAGGGATCTAGAACTGGAAATACCATTTGACCCAGCCATCCCATTACTGGGTATATACCCAAAGGATTATAAATCATGCTGCTATAAAGACACATGCACACGTATGTTTATTGCGGCATTATTCACAATAGCAAAGACTTGGAACCAACCCAAATGTCCAACAATGATAGACTGGATTAAGAAAATGTGGCACATATACACCATGGAATACTATGCAGCCATAAAAAATGATGAGTTCATGTCCTTTGTAGGGACATGGATGAAATTGGAAATCATCATTCTCAGTAAACTATTGCAAGAACAAAAAACCAAACACCGCATATTCTCACTCATAGGTGGGAATTGAACAATGAGATCACATGGACACAGGAAGGGGAATATCACACTCTGGGGACTGTTGTGGGGTGGGGGGAGGGGGGAGGGATAGCATTGGGAGATATACCTAATGCTAGATGACGAGTTAGTGGGTGCAGCGCACCAGCATGGCACATGTATACATATGTAACTAACCTGCACAATGTGCACATGTACCCTAAAACTTAAAGTATAATAAAAAAATAATAAAAATAAAATAAAATAAATAAAAGACTTTATAAAAAAAAAAGAAAAAAGTTTTTAAGGGTACACATAACATAATTTTTCCTAAGCCAATTGCAATTTAGCACACAAAAGAAATCCCTTTCTTCTTCTTTTTCTTTCTTTTTTTTTTTTTGGAGACAGGGTCTCCTGGTGTCGCCCAAGCTGGAGTGCAGTGGCACAGTCTCGGCTTACTGCAGCCTCTGCTTCTGGGTTTAAGTGACTTTCCTACCTCAGCTTCCTGAAGAGCTGAGACTACACGTGTATGCTACTGTGCCCGGCTAATTTTTGCAGTTTTTGTAGAGGCGGGATTCCTCAAGTTTCCCAGTCTGCTCTCCAACTCCTGGCTCAAGCGATCTGCGGGTCTTGGCCTCCCAAAATGCTGGATTACAGGCATGTGCCACCATGACCAGCCAAAAAATACTTTTCTTCCTAACAGTACTTGCTAAATTATTTTATGATCAAGTAAAAATATTTTATAATTTTTCTTCAGAAATCAAATAATTTTGAGCTCTTGTGTAAATAATTAGTAAAACATGTCTAGGAGCTTAGGAATAACATCTATTTGACCAAATCATAGAACTCTTGAGGACTCAAAGGGATATATTTTCCAGATTGTCCCATACTTATGTTATTGTAACATATTGCCTCATATCTATATAGTGTAAATTATATATATATATATATATATATATACACACACACACACACATATATATACACACATTTTTTTTCCAGCTTGTCCAGAGTAGTATGAACCCATATTAGCTTGATGGCACAGAAATGGGTCTGTAAAAGCTTAAAGCAATAAGCACAACTGTTTGATATACAGTGGTTAGAAAATGATTATTGTATTTTTCTATTGGATTGATTTTCTTCTTTTGAAACAAATGAAATTTTGTTTTTCTAAGTATTCTCAAAGTTCAGATTTTTAAAAAAATCAGTGAAAGTTTTAAAATAATTCTTTTGTTGAATTTAAAGTTGTTTTAAACCCCTCATTGAATCCTTAGTAATTTCTGTTTTCTTTGTTATAAAAAAGAACACTTTTGGAAACTAGTCTATTTTATCTTGATTATATAGCAGCGACATATTAATCATCATTAAATATGAATAAAACATGATTTCCCTAAGTGTTAACATTATCATAAAATGCCAGAGACTGAATTCAGGAGGTTAAGATTATAGAAATTACTTTCAGAGGCAATGAAAGGGTCAACTTAAGTTTTCCACCTCCCCGCACCTTTGAAACTTCCGCAGAGAAGGATAATGTGTTGGCCTGTGATTAACAAAATTTGTGCTAGCTTTTTCCTAAAGGAAAAAAGAGGTGGAAGTTAAACAACTGGTAGCACATTACTATCATTTAATTATATTTTCCTCTTATTTCATCATAATTTTTTCCTTACATGTCATTAACCTTTAACTCAAAATAATTTCAGCAAAGTTAGAAAATATGTTGCACAATTTTCTCTTATTCTCTTATCTAGAAAACTTTTAAGAGATAGATTGGTACAAGAAATAATTCTAACAGTTTATCATATGCAAGATGCTTATTAGTAATTAAATATAAAAAGATATAGGTAGATGTTTGCATACATTCCCAAGTAGTAGCTATATAACATGTTTTATATATTATTTCCCTCTGTTTACTTGTTTCACCCTAATATACATAAATTTCCATTTATGTACTTTACCACTATAGTATTAGAATGTACTAAAAAAATAGTGTATCAAAAGACTGACATGAGTTAATTACATGATAGTAAAATTTCTAGAAGCTCGTAAATTATTTTCCTTTAGTGAATAAAATGATTAAGTTTCTTTTTTCCATTTTTAAACAAAATTCACATTTTGTTTTGATTGAAATAAACTATACAAAATGGATTTTCTTCATCAAAAATAACAGCAATGTTTTCCATAGTTTTCTAGATAAACCACAATCCTTATTTTTGTAGGTTTTCCAGGTTTTGCTTATAAATCAAGATGAGGCAGTAGGTAAGAGTCATGGAAAAAGACAGAAAGAAAACAGACAAGTCAGTTGTCAGTACCCATGGCCTCTGATTCCGTCTTAACCATGAAACAGAAGTGTTCAACATATACCGGCTAAAAAGCTTAGGAAGATGTAGGCTCCACAAAGGAATGTAAACAGCAACAATGAGATGTAGAACAACGCCAGGCTCTTCCATTCAAATTTTAACTGTCATTTGCTCCTTTAAGTTAGAGAAAGACAAAATCTGCACTGAAATCCTTGTTTGGCGAGCTCACAAGCTTTTCTCCGGTAATTTCTTGTAACTGTCCAGGAGAGATTTTTAACATACTTAAAACTCCTATTAGTCAAAGGTCAACTGTGGGTGTCACTATAACATTTTATAAAATGTATTCCTTCCTCCCGCACCTCTTCAAAACATACTTCTTCAAAGAATTTGTAACACCCAACAAGTAGAGATCCACAGTGATAATAAATGCTATGTCTAAAATGACCTAACTAAAACAATTCCAGAGTGCCATCAGCAGAGTACACGCAGAAGGAAACATGGCACTTTCAATGTTCTCTTCTGGAAGAACAGGTAGGTTTTCAAAGCCTGAGAGTTCAAACAGGGGCCATTTAAACAGGTACATTATCAATGGCTAATGTATTCAATGGAGTTCTATAGGCAAAGACATTTAGTGATTAAGAGGTTTACATACACCATATGGCTTTTCTTTAAAATATCAAATATAAGAAGGCCTATTTTTAAAACTCTCCTAGGTATTTTCGATGGTTTTGGAATTATCTGTGGGAAGCTCTGACTTACTTGTATAGGGTTTAACGTGTGTGTCCGCCATTAAATCCAGGTTGTGTTTTATGTCACAATTTATGTTAAGCAAAGCCAAGTTACTCGAACTTTGGTCTGTCAAAGTGTTCCTTAAATATGCTTTAAGACGCTTTCGTCCATTTTCATACCACTCATTCTCAACCGTCATCACAGGAAGAATACACAGGACCTTCATCAATGCATACACATTAGGAAAAAACTTGATGTCAGGCAGGTGGAGGGCTTCATAGATGGTGGATGGAAGCTCTATATCTTTCCTCCTGTGTTTCTATTTGATTCTCCAACAGTGAAGCTTGGCTGAGAGCGTGTCAGTATTGGGTAAGTCACTTCTACACATGTCAGCATGGTGTTCCTCCGGTGTATTGAATTTGAGTTGTCCCATGACTGAGGGTACCAGAGATAAGCATTTAAGAGCTTTGAGGTGCTGTTCTAAGAATATATCTTTAAGTTCCTGAATAATGTGCTCCACTGTTGGGACACTTAGTGTTTCTTTATAGTAACTCTCAGAGGCTAGCTGAGATTCCAAGTTACCTTGGTGAACACTGTGGTATTTTCCAGGGAGTTTCATTTGAATATCAAGTTTGGTTACCAAATTTGTGGCTTCCTCAAACCAAAATTCATGATAAACTTCAATATTTTCCATCACTTCGTTGAGTAAATGCAGTACTACAGTCAAGCTACCAGCTGCAAATAAGACATCAGAGGTTTGCCCCTGGAGATTTTCCCCAAAGGCTCTTGTAAAAGATAGGACATTTTTAAGAACAACAATAGTAACAATGAAATCAAAATCTGTTACTGCACTGCAGAGTATAAATGCTCTGCCAGCTACACAGTTACTCCATCTAATATTTGTGTCACTATTTATACCATCTGAACCTAAAACAAGTGCTTGCAGGAGTTCCACCAAAATTTCAAAAGCATCATGCCTGCGTGTCCACTGAAAATGGCAGATTTCCTTCAGTTCTTTACCCCTTTCTTAACCGTTGTGAAAAAGAACAGAAATTACATCGTCAAGTTCTAAAAGCAGTTGTGATCAAGGGAAAAAAGAACAAACTTCTTCAATTGTTCCTAATGCAACAGATACTCCCATAACAGGTACTGATTTTGCCAACCACATATTTAAGGCACAGGAAGTTCAGAGTGTGTAGATAGCTTGGGGATATTTTTCTAAAAGTCTAGAAGCAACAACTTTCATTTTGGAAGAAAATCCACTAGACACAATGTAAGCCTGACCACGACAATGCTTCATATTTAATCCCCACTTCTCAGTTATCATAGTGTGAAATTTCACAGCCAAAATTTCTGCATCAGCTTCATAAGGCAGAAAACCTATAAATTCCTCTCTTAGGCTATGAGATTCATCAACAAACCCCACCAACACAGTTAGGTGCTCTTCCCCTGCTATGTCCACTACATCGTCAGTGATAATGGAAAAGAAGTGTGATTCTCTCTCTTCCCTGAGAGTTTCTTCTCGAATACAGCTCTCACAGATCTCTACCATCTGCCTCTGCTGTGTTTTTGAAGAAAACAACGTGTTAACTGCTGTTGTCTCAAAGCGCTTTCTCAGAACCTCTTCACCAGAATTTATCTGGCACTCCAGCAGTGCTTGAAAGTTATCTAGGGTAAAGAGACCTTCTGGGATTTCTTCGGCCTCCTGTCCATCCAGAGGTATATTTTGCTTTCCCATCAGAATCAATAATTCAAATAGAGATTTTAGGTATTCTTTGTTTTCCTTCTCTTCAAGGGATAGAGGTAAAATGTCCTCATCTTGCCCTTCACCCTCTTCTTCACTGGGGTTCTGAGCATTGCTATTGTTGGTTTATGTTTTTGTTCCTGCTCAGAAGTTTCATCAATGTTTTTCTGTTTCAGTCCTGATTTCGTCTTCACTCAGTTCTTTTATTCGTTTTCTGTGTCTACTTACGTGGTTTGTTCAAATGACTGTAAGATCAAATATTGTTGGTATTGCATTATCTCGAAGAACTGTCCTATAAGGACTAGTTCTACAGATCATAGAGGTCTCATGTTTGGCACATAATCGATAATGTTTATTTAGCTGATCAGGTTTTTGTTTTTGTTTTTGAGATGGAGTCTCGCTGTCGCCCAGGCTGGAGTGCAGTGGCGCGATCTCGGCTCACTGCAAGCTCCGCCTCCCGGGTTCACGCCATTCTCCTGCCTCAGCCTCCCGAGTAGCTGGGACTACAGGCGCCCGCCACCGCTCCCGGCTAATTTTTGTATTTTTAGTAGAGACGGGGTTTCACCGTGTTAGCCAGGATGGTCTCGATCTGCTGACCTCCTCGGCCTCCCAAAGTGCTGGGATTACAGGCGTGAGTCAACGCGCCCAGCCGATCAGGTGTTTTATCTTCTAAGTCAGCTCTCCTACAATTCTCCACCCACTCCTGGCATCTGGCCGGGTCCCGCGGGAACCTGAAGAAGGCCAGGTCGGACTGCGTGCGCTTCGCGTGCAGTTGGGGGCAGCGCAGAAGTTCGGCATCTTCGCCCGCCCGCTGGCTGGCCCAGCCCTCCGCTCCCGGCCTCCTCAGGGCAGTCCGCCCGCTGGTCCGGGTCACGGAGGAGAGCCAGGTCGGCCGGCTCTGCAGGGCCGGCGCGCGGGCGAGGGGCGGGCGGGCGAGAAGCCCAACTTTATTGTAATTTATTGTGTGTGACCATGACAACAAGACAATAAAGCAACAAGAGCATGAATTAGAATTGAAACAAAGCATATTGACAAGATGACACCAGGATCTTTTCATATATGTTATTCTATTATAATATGCATTGTACTGATTTACTAAAATAACTATACATACATAAATGCTTAAAAGAGAAGATGTTTCATATTGAGATACACCAATTACTTTAAAATAGAAAATATTTTGGCAGCTGTATATATTATTTTAATATGAGTTATAGTTATGTGGAAAGCATATGTATTTAACAGAATGCTGGTTGCTATGTCCCTTACGGAGTCACAAACTAAGGATAATAAATATTTCCATATGAGTATATTTATATAAGATAATATTTTATAACACATAAAATATTAAACACTAGAATGAATCTTCTTAATAGTATCCAATACTAAAATGTATCTTCTTAATTAATTACTTAATTGTATACTTGAATTCCTCTAAAGTTTATACAACATTATTATTTCTCTCTAAGGTTTTTTATATATTTTTTCTTACAATTAAATCACTTATATTCCCATTATGGTTTCTAAGCTATTACATTTTAAATTTATGTTCGTACGTTTCCACCTTACTGAATCTCTACCTATTTCTAGCATTTTTCTTTTTTTACATATTTCTCTTGGACAGTCTCATTTTCAATTATACCAACAAGAAAGAATGACAGATTCACCTCTTGTAAAATACAATTGGCATTGGCTGTCCCAATTGTGCAAGGACTTCTAAAATTTAGGACCCTGTTACTATTGCTCTTCCTTTTTCTGACTCTTCCTTCTCTTCTTCTCCATCTCTCTTTTCCTACTTCTCCTTTTTCTTATCGCCCCAATTCCACCAATTTTAATAGGTAGATTGCAAGGGTATTGCCACTAATTGTGGCAACGGCCTTTGGTATACATATTCTTATACAGGTTTTGTTTTGTTTCTTGAATGGAGTTTTCCAATTTTCAAATATCTACTTAATATCTATTAAGATGAACATAATTACAAGTCAATGAACTGATTAAAATGGTTAGTTATATAGATGGATTTCTTAATATTAAACAAATTTGAATTAGTGTGAATGAACTTACTTTTTAAAGATTAGTGATTCTTTTAGTATATGATTGTATATTATTTGCTAGTATTTCATTTAGGATTTTTGCATTAATATTGCAGTAAAATTGATTAATATTTCAGTAAAATTGATCTGCAATTTTCTTTCTCTGTGCTGTCTTTATAAGACTTTGCTACTGATGTGGCGACATTATACAAACTAATGGGAAGCTTTGCTTCTTCTCCATGCCTGGAATCAGTTTTAAAATGGATCAGTTTCTTTACATTTTGATACAACTAGTAGATATACGATAAAAGGTATATTTTCCACATTATCTGTAATTTTTCTGTTTTCTAATAAATACTTTTTATAACTTATATTTTTAGAGAAGTGTATTTATTTCATATAGATTTTCAGATATCTATGCCTAGAGTTATAAAATGCATTTTCTTTCTATTCTTTTAATTTCATCCTTATTGGCAATTAATTTCTTGATTATTTGTGCATATTAATAATTTATTTTTCTTTTCTTAGTTGGATTAACTAGTGATTCTAGAGCTATTGATTATTTTACTGACTTTATAAATTCTAAAGTCTGCTTTACAATTTGATTTCTAATTTTATCTTTATTATGTTCTATTTATTTTTAAATTTTTCATTATTTTTTCTTAATATTTGTTTCTTTCTTTCAATATTTATTTGCACCAGTGAAAATGTTTGACACATAAATTTTCTTTTAAATAAGGTTTTAAACAGAGCTTATATATTTGTTAGGTTAGCTGTTATTTCTAGGTATTTTTTAATTGAAGATTTTGTATATTTGTCTCAAGAGGTTATTCCTAAATATTCATTATATTGCCATTAAAATTTTTTCTTCTATTATCATTATAGGATTATTAAATTAGTGCCAGACAAAATAGTGTGCATAACTCTTTTACATTTTCTTTTACTGATTGTTATTTCTTTACTACTCAACAGAATATTGATTTAAAAACAAACAAACAAGTTTACTCCTACATGGGAAAAAACAGTTATATTTTTTATTTGAAGAGCAGAATTGTATGTACATCTATCAGATCTACTTTATTTTTGTTATTCTTCAGTTTACTCAGATGAATATTATTTGACCTGTCCAGGATTGTAATTCCCTATATGTTTTTCCAATATGTAATATTACATATGTGGTTTCAAATAACTATCTTTGTAATTCATACTGTCATCAATATGAAATATTATTTCGTCATTGCTATTTACTTTAAATTAAATGATTAGAAGATTAAATAGAGCAGAGTTAATGTCGGACTTTCCAGGTAGGCCTAGAAGGAACAGCAAATTTCACCAAGACAATCAACAAGTAAAAAAGGCGTCATTTAGGGTACTACCTAAACACAACATATCGAAAATTGTGTTGTGTTACCCCCAAAATAATCATATGACATAATGCATTTGTTATTAGATAGATATAGCCATTTCTCAATGTATATATACTTCAAAACATCATGTTGTATATACACAATTTTTAAATAAATTAAAATATATATTATTTGTCAATTAAAAAATAATTTTTAAAAGTTCAAGAATATACACATGAAATCCCATTAGAAACTAGTTACACAATCCTAATGTGACCATAAAAAAATAATAATTTTTAACAGCCCATGGGGGAGAAAGAAGCTTTTATGTTTTGAGAAAGAAGTATCAGTTTATGTCATTAGATAGTTACATTGTCAACTAGTTCATAAGATAAAAATGGCAAAGCATAGTAAAACCTACAAAATATGTTATATAACTATTGTTTCAAGTTTTAACAAAATACGATTTCATCGCTTCATTTAAAAGTATCCTATCTGAAGTAGAGGGTGCTGGCACTCCAAAAATAAGTGATCTTCTTCCTAAAATAATAGTAAAAAACAATGAAATAAATTTTCCAAAGCCTTCCAAACAGATTTTCCTCCCTTAAATTTCTGAAATAATTGAGGATCAGGTTCCAGAGAAACAAATATTTTTTACAATTCATGCAAATAGGTAATGTCATCATTGTAGGTACGTATATACCATTTTGCTTTTGATTGTTTAAATACTGGAAAGAATATATATATGTATATATATATATACACACACATACACATATATATTCATACATATATTCATATATATACCTATATATATACCTATATATATATATCTATATATATATCTATATACACATATATATATATTTATACACACACACACACACTATAACACCAAGTCTGGATTTATTAAACTTGTAAGTTTCAATCTCTTCAGCCTTCAGTATGCAGTCAATACTATTTAGTGTTTATTTTCAGCGAGAGCTACACTGCCAAATACCCTGCATCGTTATAATAATTTTATTTTCTCATAGAAAAAGAGAACATTTGGGGAAAAGAAAGAACATTTTACATCAAATGCATTGAGAAGATACTTGTTAATTTAACTTTTATAGATGATAATCCATATAATTGAAAACTGGAAAAAATCGTCAAAATTAATAGCATTTTAAAAGCATATTTCTCAATAATTTGAGAGAAGATAACCTTATTAATGAAATTATAAAAAATTCATCTGTGTCAAATACATAACCAAATAGTTTTTGAACTAGAAAAAAGCATTCAATAGTTCATTTTGCCTTTTAATTAGCACAGGTCAAGATTCCAAATTAAAATTTAGCCCTCTAAATCCTCTTTGGTGACTGGATTTTCTGCTATCCTTTGAAATTGTCATTTCAGTTTGCATAGATTACGTATTGCCTTCCTCTACATCATCTCAGCATTGAATTACGCATCAAAAATTTTTGGTGTTTTTATTTATGCAAATAAACAAAATAAAATGCACATAAAATGTTTTGATAAGAGTTCAAATTTCATTTTTTCAAATTACATAATTTAGAATGATTCTAAACTGACTTATATTTTTTCACACTTTTCAATCAGATGGTTATAATAGTCAATGTGCTATATAGATGACCTAAAGATTTGGTGTCCTATTTTTCTTTTGTTTGGTTATGTAACTGCTAAAGACAGCAGCCAGTGTATTTTATGCTACAGGTATGAAGGAATAAACAGGCTGCACGTGTCTTTCATTCCCAGTCTACAAAGTAAGATTTTCCTTGACTAGAAAAGATATTCAGTTTTACATTTTGCAATACTATCCTTTAGAATAACCCTCAACTTTGGAAAAAAAAATTGATTTTCACATGTCAAATTAGCTTACACTTGATATTTGAGAATGCTGTGGTTAGCTGGAATTTCATGACATCATGAATCTAGAACTCCCAAATTATGAACTGGTTAGCCATGTTAGGAAAATTTGCTTTCAAATTCTAAGCTATACTTAAAAAATTTTCCTCTTAGCTGTATTTTGATCTGTTTGAGATTAATTTGCAAATGTTCAATAAAACGAAGAACAAGACATTGCTCATCTGAAATTTAAGATAAAAATACCATCTTTATGGTTTGTTATAAAAATGCCATGGCCTTTCATTATTTTTTTCCACACTTACTGAACAGGACATTAAAACTGAAAGTCGTAGAGAAGCCAGAAACTCCATAGTAATGTAAACATTTCCTTGGTCTTGATAGTATTGCACTCTTTAGGGTGTGTAAGCTGGAGAGGTCCAATCACCAGCCACAGCACTTTAATATCTGCCAAATCCTCTTTTATTTGCCCTTTCAAGAAAGTCCTCATGTCTTTTAAATGGCATTTGCTTAGCAAAAGATTACTGTGAATTAGGCAAAAAGAGGTAAACCTAGTACCTCACAGGCTATTGCAATAGAACAACCTGGCAAGCTCCTCCATCCCCACGTGAAATTCTATATTTATTTATTTACCTTGGCTGCTGGAAAGTTCAGTTTATATGTTTCATGACAATCAGTGCACAGATTATTAGAATGTGCTAAAAGCAACCTATTAACATTTTCCCCAGTGTCATATTGTTTCTTCTTTCCTTCTTTTCTCTGTCCAAGTACATCTTCACTGGCTGCTGTTTTTTTAATCACCATTATTGTTATAATCATTTTTACTATATGTATTTTAATAAGCCTTATCAAATCTGCTTTGAATAGAGGCATACTTTACATAAACGTGATTAAATTGCTGAAATCTGGAATATAGTAAAGACCATCCTGTTCCTGGGCAGTTACCAGGACATAAGAATTTCGGGAGAATGGAGATTGTGGTAGAGAGATAATGGTGAGGGGGTGGGGGTGGGAGAAAAGTCAATAGTCAATAGGTTTGTTAATTAATTAATTAATTTTTATTTTTTATTTTTTGAGATGGAGTCTCACTCTGTCACCCAGGCTGGAGTGCAATGGCGTGATCTCGGCCCACTGCAACTTCCATCTCCGGGTTCAAGCAATTCTCTTGCCTCAGCCTCCCGAGTAGCTGGGATTACAGGTATCCGTCACCATGCCTAGCTAATTTTTGTATTTTAAGTAGAGATGGGGTTTCACCATGTTGGCCAGGCTTGTCTCGAACTCCTGACCTCAGGTGATCTGCCCACCTCAGCCTCCCAAAGTGCAGGAATTACAGGTGTGAGCCACCACGCCCAGCCAATATACTTAAATTAGTAAGACCCAGTGCTCTAGAAAGATGCCACAAAAGGAATTTGTGGAGCAGAATGGTCCTCAAAACACCCTACTCATGTCTCTAAGGAGGTCAAAGTAGTTCCCAGGCAAGGGTATCTGAAGCTCTAGGGAGTCCTCACTTGTTACATGTGGCAGCTTATTCCTAATAGAAAAAAGAAAATTCAGACTAAAGACAAGCCTGCCTTAGAGGTTTCAAAGTCTCATCTTCTTTTCATTTATTACCCTCTAGCACAGAGAGAAATCAAAGCCTTCAACAGGTTGAGTGCTGCTCCACACATTCAGCAGGTCACACACAGCTTATCTGTTGGTGGAGAAGGGATTGCCCATGTAATACCAAGACATATGTACTTCTAAACTCTCTCTGCCCAGATCCTGCCATCATGTTGACTATTCTGTCATCAAGGATGACACCTTTCTGTTAAAGCTCTAGACTACATTTCAAGAGAGGAACATCCCATATTAATTCCTTGAAAATGTGGTCATTTTCCAAAAAATACTGCTTATAAAAATTAGCAAAAATTGGGTAGTAAAATAATTCCTGGTCCTTTGTTTGTTGTAGCACTGTTTACAATAGCTAAGATTTGGAAGCAACCTCAATGTCCATCAACAGATGAATGGATTAAAAAATGTGGTACATATACACAATGGAGTACCATTCAGCCATAAAAACTAATGAGATCCAGTCATTTGCAACAACATGGATGGAACTGGAGATCATTATGTTCAGTGAAATAAGCCAGGCACGAAAGATAAACACTGCATGTTCTCACTTATTTGTTGAATCTAAAAATCAAAACAATTGAACTCATGGAGATAGAGAGTAGAAGGATGGCTACCAGAGGCTGGGAAGGGTCCTGTCGGGGGGTTGCGGGGGAGGTGAGGGTAGTTAATGGGTACAAAAAATTGTTAGAAAGAATAAGACCTACCATTTGACAGCACAAAGACCTACTATTTGACAGCACAATAGTGTGACTATAGTCAATAGTAACTGTACAGTTTAAAATAAAGTGTATAATTGAATAGTTTGTAACTTAAAAGATAAATGCTTGAGGGAATGGATACCCCATTCCCCATGATATGCTTATTTCACATTGCATGCCTGTATCAAAATATCTCATACACCACATAAATATATACACCTATTATATGCTCACTTTTTTTTTTTTTTTATATGAGACGGAGTCTCGCTGTTGTTGCTCAGGCTAAAGTGGAATGGTGTGATCTCGGCTCACGGCAATCTCTGCCTCCTGGGTTCCAGCAATTCTCCTGCCTCAGCCTCCTGAGTAGCTGAGATTACAGGCGCCTGTCACCACTCTCTGCTAACTTTTGTATTTTTAATAGGAATGGGGTTTCACCATTTTGGCCAGGCTGGTCTCAAACTCCTAACCTTAGTGATCCACCTGCCGAGGCCTCCCAAGATGTTGGGATTACAGGCATGAGCCACCACGCCCGGCCACAAAATTATTTAAAAAACAAAATAAATAAAATAATTCCTGGAGATTACATGATTTTTTACTGAACTTAACATTAGGTACTGAACTAAGCATTATTCATAATGTATTAAAAGCAGAGCCACAAGTAGAAAACCACTTATAACTGCCTCCAGAGTCTTATATCTACAAGTACAGCAGGTGCTCTTCTGAGTGTGGTGCTGGGAAAAGCAGTAACAATAAATGGAGCAAGACATGACTCTTGCTTTTTCTGGGAATTAACAAGAGAGAGGGAAAAGAACGTTCCAGCATGGTAAAGCATGTGGCCCAGATATGAGAGGGGCTTTAGGGAGAAACTGAAAGGCCTTCTGTAGATCAAGAGCCAGGAAAGCTGGTGTATATAGCATGGTCAGTAAAGGGCAATTCCTGTGTGGCACAGAATGCCCAGGTAGGAAGTTACCACTGAACTTCAGTCCAAAGGTGGTCACAAGACATTGATAGGTTTTGCTTGGATTTGCATTTTATGCATTCCACATGCTGCTATGGAGAGTAGGAGAGAAGAAATAAAAATGGAATCAGGAAGAAAAGTTAAGTGGCTTTGCAGAAATAGCCAGCAGCAGGGATAATTTTTCTTCTATATTTATTATCATTTTGCTAAGCATTGGACTAGATCCAACCTATGAATAGGACAAAATTAATGTAAAGACTAAAAGCCCGGGAAATGTTAAATATTTAATTCTTGATGAGGCGTAATATTCATCCTGTCATGCTATGTTCTGTGCACACAGGAATACAGCATGGTGTCAGAGTTTGGCGCCCTCACTGTGAGCTGAGGCACCCCACGGCATCACAGTAACCTCACAAAAATGACAGGATCTTTTAAAATTTTGACAAAGACATAGTGACATGTGTTGAACCTGACATGAGCTACTATCCTGTGATAGTTCAGGGTTTTAACATTAGATTGCACCAAATCCCTTCCAATGATGCCATTAATCTCAGATTTTAGTGTTTGCGGTGACTAAACACAAGTACCTCAAAGATAACAATGTGTAACTCTTATGCTATTGTAACTGGAATGTTATTTACTTTGGCATTAAAAAATAAAGGTATAAGGAAACTCTTCGTTTTTTGTTTTGTTTTGTTTTTAACAAGATCATTCTCCTCCATCAATCCCTCATGCAGCAACCACTATCTTCCTTTCTCAGTGGTAGAGTTATAAAAGAATATCAATACTCCTTATCTTTCTTAATAGAGCAAAGGATCCATGGTCTGCATGTGGCCCAGACTTTATTTGGAGCCATTGGCTCCAAGTACCTATGAAAGTATATTTAACCTTTAAAAAAGTCCTATTGTGATATTACGAATTCCTTTTTAAAATCTGGTAATTTGGCAACACTGGGTCCGCAATTTTTTCTACATAGTAATAATCAGCAGAAAATGCTTTGGGCCACCCCCTTCTGAAGTAATCTTTGCTCTCCACTTTGGCACAGTTTCCACTCACTTACCTGATCCCAGGAGTCATTTGAGTTTGCCTCTAACTTAGTGTGACAAAGACTTTAATGTAGGGATGAATTCTTAAAGGTATGAAGTTTTACTGTGACTATTGTCTATGCCATGGATCTGTATCTGTGAGTGATGCAGACAGTGGATATATTTCTCAGTTATGAATACTGGTAATACTAATAGATAAGTTTTTTGAGATTATTCCATATATAATAGGCATTATTCTAAACACTTTACATTTATTAATTACGCTCACAGCAATATTATTGTAGTCACAGCAATTCTATGAGGTAGGTTTTCTTAATTTTTATTTATAGACGTGTCAAGAACTTTGAATAGTCAGATTTTACCCTGCTTGCAAGTTAAGCTGATCTTCCACAGTTTCATAGATGCTGGCAGAAGACATGGGGTTATTGGATTAGAGAAAAAAGGATTTATTACTCTATTGCAACTAGCAGGAGCATCAGTTTGAATTGGTTCCCCTTATGGCCCAAGTCCCATGGGGAAAATGGGGAATGGGCCAGGTGGTTGCAGGTACACGTAGTCAGTTTTCTTCACAGCTTAAGAACCCTGGGAGTTAGAAATCCTAGTATTTATAATGGACAGCAAGAAAACGTGGCACTCATTTGCCATTTTCTCTAGAGTAAAGCATCATCTTTATTAAACTGAGCAGTCAACCTGGTCTCTGTTAAGGAGGAGGATACTATCTCTGTTTTCTATAGTTGTTCACTAAACATGAACAACCTCCTCCCTCCTTGAAGAGGAAGGGGAATTTCCTTTCCACAATGGGTTAAGATGGAGAGGAGTGATAAACAGAAAATAATACATAGCATTGCTTTAAGCCTATTGTTTTCAAATAACTTTTCAGTTTTCTCACACTGAATAATTTTACAAAGTGATAAATTCCATCACAAATCCTAACTAGAGGACCAGTTATAGGTTATAGATAGGGGTCAGAACGAGGTATCCATAAAATTTCATGGACACCTGAACTCTGTGATAAAATTAAAAACCACTGAAACACAATTTAAAATTATACCTTTTATGAACCGATTTTGAACCAATAGTTTTCAAAACTTTCTGTTCCAAAGAGCTATAAATATCATAGATTCTATGAGTCAAACTTAGACCTATGTATCAGAATCTCTAGAGGTAGCATAAATATTAAACTTAGGGAATTTAATTTTAGAAAGTTTCCCAGGTAAGCCTGATGTGCAGACTTGAAGAGAAACTAAAAATTACACAGTTCTGAAGGATAATCTCTAAGTTGGTGAATGAGGCCTTTCACAACTGGACTTGAATCCAGGTGACTTTTATATCACCCTAGGGTGGCACAATAGAATTGTGATTGTAATTAAGAAAGAATAAAATTGGACATCTGTCTACTCAGGGAATATACTATATTAACATATATGGCACTGTCAAAATGGCATAAATGAAAGGGGAACTCAAAAGAATAATAACCTTGCATGTTAATTCAGAACTGTAACAAAGAGCAACATCGATCCCGTGGATTCAAAGGATTCCTCATTTGCACTGTACAAGATCTGGAAGGGTATAGACAGCTCACCAGGCAAATGCAGGCTTGATAAAATACACCCTATCTATTTATATATCTTCTTACTTTGAATCTGTGTTCCTATAATTAGTGATTAATAATCCCAGCTACTTTGACATCATGAAGGAAGTGCCCTGGATTGAATCAGTAACCTAAGCTCCATCAGTATTTTATATTCATCCTCTCCTTGGTGGCTCATGCTGTCATCCACTCATCTGTTCCCATCCACTGGTGAATCTTCCAATTTTCTTGACCAATTTTGCTATCAGGTTCATAATTTTATCCTCCATACCAAGTCCCATAATGACCCTGGGAAATTCCAGTATCCAAATGAAAGAGACATCTATACATCTATAATTATACAGCAATGACTTCCAAATTCATAGCTCCAGATTTGTATATTTTTCTCTTTAATATTAAATTTTAGCTATGATTTGATCATTTAAAAACCTTTCTTAATTTCACAGCAATTTGGCTAACCACTCATCTGGCCACTTTCTGGATCACCTAGTTTCCTACTGCAGAATTTTTAATTCTAGTATTCCTTTATCTGGCAACAAATTCTTGGTTTACTGTGCACTTATTTCCTTTCATGTTCTGCTCATCTTTTTAAATTAATCTGTGTTTGGCCAGCCCATCATCCCCCTTTACAGATGAAAGACCATCACTCTCTAGAAGCCTTGGTTTCTTCCTTTCATTGTACTTGCCTAATCATAATCCTATATCTTCTCAATCAAAGCACTCATATCCATTTAAAATATGGACTACTGGGAACTGTAAAAATAATTTAAACATTGTAAATTTGCACTGCTACAAGTTCGTGGTTTCTAACCTCAGTTAAGGACTATGTTATCTGCTCTTTGTATATTCTTCTGGCATGAACCCAAGCTTGCCTTGGATCAATTATATGTACTACTATTTGATCTGAGTTCCAGATCTGTATATCCAACTCTTCACTCAATATTAAATTTTCACTTGGAGATATCAAATACCCAACGAACTCAACATGTTCAAAACAAATTCATAATTCTGTCACCAGTGTTTCCTATCTCACTGAATGGCAACACCCACCATTAAGTTTGGTTGGCTGGAAGCTTGTGATATCTTCTCATTCTTTCATCCATATAGTCAAACAATCACAAAAACTGTGAATTTTGCATGCTAATATTAATCATTGTACCTTTCTGTCTATAATTCTGACATTGTAGTCTAAACCCTTATCAGCATTCACTAGAATTATTTCAGTAGCTCCCTAAACTTTCTCCCACCATCCCCTCTGGTATATTTCTTACACATTTGCTCCCCTGCAGCCAGAATTCTATGTTTCTATTTTATTAAAAAACCAATTAGGACCTCTCCTCTCTCTCTTTCCCTCTTCCTTAATCACTCCTAGGATAAAAACTCAAATTCTTAAAATAAATTATTTAAAGTTCTGCAGGTTCTAATTCAACTACCACATATTTTCATATCATTTTTGTGACAATCGGCATTCTACCCTTATTGGTGCTCTTTCAGGGTTTTTGAGCAGGCTAAGCTTTTTTTTTTTCTTTCTGTTCCACTCAGGAACTTTGCATTTGCTATTTCCTATCCGTGAAAGACTCCTTCCTCTTCCCCATCTCTCCACTCCCCAACTTCACATCTTACTCAAGTCCCTCATATCTAGCAAATATCACTTCCCTAGGAGAGTCCTTTATGATGACCTTGTACAGCAAATCAGAGAACTCTATATATTTTAAAGATTACTTATCTTCTCACCTTCCTATAAAAACATTGACTATATCCATCTTGCTCTTTATTCTTTCCCCAGAGTTTACAATAATACCTGATAGAAATAGATAATAATTATTCAAGGAATGAATGAGAAAATCTTTTTCAGGAAACATGGTAAGTTCCTACTAAGCCCTCTTTTTCATTTGCACAGCCATTATTTAGAAACTTCACCACTTTTTTAAAGGTACCCTCCATGCTAATTTTCTATCCTTTTTAGAAAACAATCCCCTCTTAATTTATAGAGAAAATACAGGTCATCAAGTAAAAGCTCTGTTAATTTCCCACTTTCCCTGAAAGTACTTCCCCCTTTTCTGGCAAACTGGTGTCTAAACTTATCTTCTCTCCTCAGACTCATTAAACACAGAATGATGCCATGTGTTCAAGGCTAATGTATGAATTTTAAAAAAGGAATTCCATGACATCTTGAACCCTTAGTGGCTTTATTTTGTCAGCTTCTCTTTTTTAAACAATATATTCAACATCTCTTTTTTCTCCCTAGCATTCTCACAGCATTTAAAAATGCTTAATTTATGCCATCCTTTGAAAGTGTTAACTGAATTTACGTTGTCCTCTATCTGTTTTATATCTCTCATTTTCTTCTCAGACAACATTCTTAAAATAATAGAATGCAGTGACTTTCTCTATATTTTATGTCCCATCGACTTTTAAAGTCCTGCAGTCTGACTTTTATCTAATCACTTCATTAAAACTGATTTTTCTAAATTCATCACCACTCCCTGTATAAAAATTAAATAAGTTTCTTTCATTCTTTCTTTTCTTTCTTTTTCTTTCTTTCTTTCTTTTTTCTTTCCTTTCTTTCTTTCTTTCTCCTTCTTTCTTTCTCTTTCTCTCTTTCCCTCCCTCCCTCTCCCTCCCTCCCTTCCTTCCTTCCTGCCTTCCTGCCTTCCTTCTTTCTTTCCTTCCTTCCTTCCTTCTTTCTTTTTCTTTTCTTTTTTTTGACAGAGTCTAGCTTGGTCACTCAGGCTGGAGTGCAGTGGCACTATCTGGGCTCACTGCAAGCTTCACCTCCCGGGTTCAAGTGATTCTCGTGTCTTGGCCTCCCAAGTAGCTGGGGCTACAGGTGCACACCATCATGCCTGAAAATTTTGGGTAGTTTTAGTAGAGATGGGGGTTTCACCATGTTGACCAGGATGGTCTCGAACTCCTGAACTCAAGTGATCCACCCCCCAACCCTCGGCCTCCCAAAGTGATGGGATTACAGGTGTGAGCCACCACGCCTGGCAAAATTAAATAAGTACTTTTCAGGTTATCACACTTGGCCTCTCTGAAACATTTGGTGCTATGAGTCTTGCTGTAATTGCTAAGAATTTCCCTCCCTAGACTCAATCCTACTTGTTAATTAGATATCTTCACTTGGCTATTGCAAAGCTTTTTAAAACTCTGCATGTTTAAATGGAATACATTATTTTTTTTCCATAAAACCCTTACCCCTTATATTTCTTACTTTGATAAATTGCACCAAACACCCAGAGACCAAAGCTAAAATCCTAGCATCAGTTCTTTGGTATCTCTCATTCTTTAAAATAAAATTTCTTACTTAATTGGTTAAAAAATCTGTCAATTTTACTTTCCCAAATAATATCTTGGAACAATTGTCTTTTTACCATGCCTTTGGCCACTGTCTTTCTTTAAGCTCTCATTGTTAATTATCTAGATTTCTCCAATGGCTTCTTGTCATTCCTTTCTTTCTCAATCTTCCATCCATCATACTATATCACAGCAATCTTCAAAAGCCTAAGTACCGTTTTATCATTTCATTTAAATTGTTTCTCATCACTTCCTGAATAGGCTCTAAACTTTTGAGTGTGACCTACTATATATCATATAATTTACTTATTTCTATCTATAGAATAATACTGAATATTCAATCAATAAGTGCATAGATAAATATATATTTATTTTCACGACTGCTTACCTTTTATGATTTACTCTAGGCAAACTAAATGTGTACTGCTCTCTTTATATATTTTTGCTGTCCTCTCCTTTTTCTTTGCATATCCAATTCCTCTTTGTGTTTGAAGACATGTATCTTGCAAATAAAAATCATATTTAAGGATCAAGGAAAGCCGTATTATTCCTGAGGTTTCCAGAGAGGACAAAATTGTAACTACGAGAAATGTCATAAAACTATCAACATTTAGAAAATTAACTACAGAAAAAATAAAGTATCAGTCATGGAGTTGTTATATCACAGTATGAAAATAGTTTTTCAAAATAGAAATTAAAAAAATACATATGCTATATCCAAAATCTATGTATCTATGATTCTCTACTCTTACCCCCAACCCTGCTACCCCAGCATTTTAATTGTACCAACACCTTCTATGTCTGGTGGGATTACTCTATTAAAAATCCTCTCTTAAATACCCTCTTCCCTCACCTCTCCTTCTAAGTCAGGTGTTTTTTCTCAATGAAAACCTTTTCATGGGTCATCCATGTTGCTTATCATACTACATGTTCAATGCAAAATAAAAGTTCAAAAAAATTACAGAATGAATTGATGATAAATGATACATTTCTTCTTCTCAGAGCCTAATTTCACTGAATTTTTTGATATAGTAAATTTTCTCCTGACCAAAACGAAGACAGACCATGGAATTCGGTGACTCTTCCAAAGTTCTGTCCCTATAAAGAACCTGCTGCAAAGTCAGCTTGCATTTCTAGATGGTGTGTTCATTTCATCTTATAACAGCAAGTTAGAAATGCATGAAAAACAAAGAACTAAAAATGAATTGTGTAGGAAACGTGAAAACATCATCTTTTCCCTATTTTATACTATTATAACACAATTGCACAAGTATCCCAATGAAATCTAAAATTCATCAAACATAGTGGGATAAAAAATTCACTTTACTAAATTTTAAGATAGGTTGTTTCCAAAAAGATGAATTATTATTTTTATTTGACATTGTCTTATAATAGTGATGTTTCCATTTTCCCAGTTAAAGAAATCAATGATTTGTGGCCAGTAGTAGTTCAAGGAAAAGTTTTAAAATAAAACAGTGATGAGATTACTACAAATTTGTAGTAATTTGCAATACACTAACAGCTCCATATCCATAATTATGTTCCTCAGCTTATAGATTATGAATGAATAATCAAGGACACAGTATTAAAGTTCATGGTTCTAATAAAATTAAGTTATAGTTATGCAAATAATACACAGGGCTTTTATTCTGCAGGCTTAAATTTGACTGCTGCTCAGGCAATTATGTTTGTGTTACTTTTTTGGTGTGTCTCATAGATTAAACTTGAGAAGTGATTCCCTTTAGTTTTTGAACACCTAAACCTTCAAATATAATTTAAACAAAACACTTTCATTTTAGAGCCAAACTGCACGGAGAGATGAAAGTGACAGCCTTGACCTTGAATAGATTTTAGCAAAGTAGTTTATGGAAGACAAAGCAATTACACCTCCACACTGACCGATGTATCACTTAGCACTTCTGATGAGATGAGGCTTTCAGGGCCAGAATGGGGATAGAAGAGAAAGTTACTAGACTGGTAGGAATGATGAAGAAGTGTAAGAACAGGAATTTCAAAAGCATCAAAATAGGGATTGTTTATCTTGTTTTAAGACTTGGTCAAATAATCACTAAAACTAGATGTTTAGGAAAAGCCATTAAAATAACTAATCTCAATAACTGTCTTCTCAGATTAAAAACAAGTTTCCAAAAAGGTTGGAATGGGGATGTATAGTAAATAATGTATAATATACATCTGCTGAATTTGATGAAGAAGAATTATAAAGTTTCTTAGAATATTTCAGAACAATAAAGTTTTCACTAGATCAAATGTATTATCTATGTATTATTAAAATAATATTAGTAACACCTCTGCACATTTATAGGTGCTTCCAGAAAAATATTATACGTATTGTTTTTCTTAATTTGATTTTCTAAATTAACTGTTGTACTATGAAGAAGGATTTACAGAATAGTAAATTGGATTATATGTATGTGAATTTTAGTTCCAATTTTGCAACTAGGTAGCATGCGCCTGTAGTCCCAGCTACTCGGGATGCTAAGGCAGGAGAATCACTTGAACCCGGGAGCAGAGGTTGCAGTGAGCTGAGATCACACCACTGCACTCCAGCCTGGTGACAGAGTGAGACTCCGTCTCAGACCAAAAAAAAAAAAAAAAAAAAAAGTAAATGAAAAAATGGAAGCTTTTAACTTGGCAAGGCCTTTCAGGCTTTAATAAGTAATGATTCTTAGTGGCATTGTCTGAAAGTAAATTTAAATAATATAAATCTTCAAATTTTGATCCCTCTGCTTTTGTCTTACAATATTAATGAACAAAATCTTATATTTTATTTTATTTTTATTTTTATTTTTTATTTTTTTTTTTTAGGCAGAGTCTTGCTCTGTCGCCCAGGCTGGAGTGCAGTGGCACGATCTGGGCTCACTGAAAGCTCTGCCTCCTGGGTTCACGCCATTCTCCTGCCTCAGCCTCCCGAGTAGCTGGGACTACAGGCGACCGCCACCACGCCTGGCTAATTTTTTTGTATTTTTAATAGAGACGGTGTTTCACCTGGTTAGCCAGGACGGTCTTGATCTCCTGACCTCGTGATCCACCCGCCTTGGCCTCCCAAAGTGCTGGAATTACAGGCGTGAGACACTGTGCCCACCCCGTATTTTATTTTTAAAGTCTTCCTTTCTTCCATCTCTTCTGAGTCTTGTAACTTGAACTATGTATAAAATTAGAATATATCAACTGAAGACTTTCTATATAAAAAAGAATACCTATCACTAATCATTTTGGAAGAAAGGATGATCCAGGAGAATAATATTTTAGGCTTCTTATAGAAATAAATAGTGTATGGTCATAAGTAAATATCTTATTTTCTCTGGGGTTCCATTTCTTCACTTAGAATACGATGCAGAAAGTAGGTTAAATGGCTTTGAAGGCTGCTTCTTTCATTCTGTTGTACTATTTTAAAATTTCCAAATGAATTTAAAATTATTCAGGGGTATTATGACAAACTTAGCATATGATGAATATATCATCATACCTTGAGTGTCACTTAAGAATAAAGTTTTACATTGAGTGACTTCATGTTATGTAGAAAATCATTTATACTATTTTTCCACCATAATTTTAATGCAGACCTCTCACTTTAATTGTAAATCAATACCAATATGACTTTTTAAAAGAGAACATTCCAAAATCTGTATATTGTGTCATGTATTAAATAACACATTATTGAAATATTAAGATGTTATAGAAATATGGAATTTTGGTTAAAATATTCCATTAAGTAAAGAGGCAAAGTACTATTTTACCACAATGTTCATTATTCTCATAAATGTCTTAGACCTTAAAACACTAACAGCTGTTGTCTGTTTGTGTAGCCTATATTTCATTTTATTGTGCTTCACTTTGTTGTGCTCTGCAGATAATGATTTTTTTTTTTTTTTTTTTTAACAAATCGAAGATTTGTGGCAACCCTGCATTGACCTAGTCGGCTGGCACCATTTTTCCAACAGCATGTGCTCATTTAATGTCTGTGTCACATTTTGGGGATTTTGACAATATTTCAAGCTTTCATCATTACTATATCTGTTACAGTGATATGTGATCAATAATCTTTGATGTTTCCATTGTAATTGTTTTGGGATTCCACAAACCATGCTCATATAGGAAGGCAAACACAATTGATAAACGTGTCTGTTCTGACTAATTTACTGACCAGCTGTTTTCCCCACCTCTCCCTCTCCTCCAGGCTCCCTAGTTCCTGAGACATTGACATTAGGCCAATTAAGAATCCTACAATGATCTCTAAGTATTCAAATGAAAGGAGGTGGCACACATTTCTAACTTTGAATCAGAAGCTAGAAATGATGAAGCTTAGTGAGGAAGGCATGCTGAAAGCCACGAGAGGCTGAAAGCTACACGTCTTGTGCCAGTCAAGTTGTAAATGCAGACAAAAAGTTCTTGAAGGAGATGAAAAGTGCTACTCCGGTGGACATGTAAATTATAAGGGAGCAAAACAGCCTTATTGCTGATATAGAGAAAGTTTAAGTGGTCTTGATTAAGACCAAATCTGCCACAGCATTCTCTTAAACCAAAGCCTAATCCAGACCAAGGCCCTAACTCTCTTCAATTCTGTGAAGATTGAAAGACATGAAGGAGCTGCAGAAAAAAAGTCTGAAGCTAGTGGAGGTTGGTTCATAAGGCTTAAGAAAATAGGTCATCTTCAGAACATAGAAGTGCAAGGTGAAGCAACAAGGGCTGATGGAGAAGCTATAGCATGTTATCCAGAACATCTACCTAAGATCACTAATGAAGGCAGCTGCACTAAGCAACAGCATTTAAATGTAGATGAAACAGTCCTCTATTGGAAGAAGATGCCATTTATAACTTTCACAAGTAGAGAATAGAAGCCAGTGCCTGACTTCAAAGCTTCTAAGAACAGATTGACTTGCTTGTTAGGGGTTAATGCAGCTGGTGATTTTAAGTTGAAACCAATGTTCATTTACCATTCTGAAAATCCTAAGGCCTTTAATAAATATACTATATCTAATCTGTGCTCCATCAATGTTATAACAAGGCCTGGGTGTTAGCACATCTATTTATAGCATGTTTTATTGAATATTTTAAGCTCAATGTTGAGACTGAGACCTACTGCTCAGAAAAAGAAAAAAAAAAAGATTCCTTTCAAGATATTACTGCTCATTGACAATGCATCTAGTTACCCAAGAGCTCTAAAGGAGATGTATAAGGTCATTAATGTTGTTTTCATGCCTGTTAAACACAACATCCATTCTGTAGCCCATGGATCAAGGAATAATTTTAACTTTCAAATTTTGTTATTTAAGAGATACATTTTTTAAAGCTATAGCTGCCAAGACAGTGATTCTTCTGATGAATCTGTGCAAAGTAAATTAAAAACCTACTGGAAATGATTCACCATTCTAGATGTCATTACGATCATTTGTGATTCCTGGGAGGAAGTCAAAATATCAACACTGGCAGGAGTTTGGAAGAAGCTTATCCCAAACTTTATAGATGACTTTGAGACATTCAAGACTTCAGTGGTGGAAGTAAGTGCAGATATGGTAAAAATAGCAAGATAACTATAAGTAGAGCCTAAAGATGTGAGTGAATCACTGTAATCTCATCATCAAACTTAATGGATAGGGAGTTGATTCTTATGGTGGAGCAAATAAAATGATTTCTTAAGCTGAAATCTACTCCTGGTGAAGATACAGTGACCAATGTTTTTATTTTGCTTTTATTTTTTGTTTGTTTTGAATTTTTTGCAGAATCAAGGTCTTGCTATGTTGCCCACGGTGGTCTTGAACTCCTGGCCTCAAGCAATCCTCACACCTTGGCCTCTCGAAGTCCTGGGATTATAGGCATAAGTCACTGTGCCTAGCCCTGTGAAGATTGCTGAAATAATCACAAAGGATTTAGAATATTACATAAATTTAGTTGATAAAGCAATGGAAGGGTATCAGAGGATTGACTTTAATTTTTAAAGCAGTTCTACTGTGGATAAAATTTCATCAAACAGAAATCGCACAGAAATTTTCAGGAAAAGAATAATCAATCAATGTGTCAAACCTTATTGTTGTTTTATTTTAAGAAATTGCCTTACCACTCTAACCTTCAGCAATCACTCACTGATCAGTCAGCAGCCATCAACATCAAAGCAAGATGCTCCAGCAGCAAAGAAATTACAACTCACTGAAGACTCAGACGATCATTAGCATTTTTTAGTAATAAAACAACTTTAAATTAAGGTACGTACATTGTTTTTATGGACATGATGCTATTGCACACTGAATAGACTATGGGATAGTTAACTTTTATATGCACTAAGAAACAAACAAAAATGTGTGAGACTCATGATATTGTAATATGTGCTTTATTGCGGTGATCTGGAACTGAACCCATGATATCTCCAAAGCATGCCTGTACTTTAAATATACACATGAAAACTTAAACTTATCTGTATTCAAATGTTTCACTATAGTTTTATACCTAACAACAAATGCAAAAAATATTGTAAAATTATTATTCTTATAAATTTAGAAAAATAAAATGACTCCATATATTAATATTTTCATATTCAGAGGAAGGTCATTAAAACTTACTAAAAACTTAAGAAATACAGAATTACAATTATTGACATATTAAGATGATCATGACATAAATGATAAAAAGCATGCAAAATAAAAATATTTCACATCAATTTTTTTGTATAAGCAGTACACATGCATATGTTTAAAATAAAATCTCTGAGAATATTTGCAAAATGTAACAGATTATTTCAATAATGCAGGATAAGGAAGTCTCTTTTTTATTTTGTTTAGTATTTTAAAAGCTAATTTTTCTGTGATGAACAATTATTTAAAATGAAAAATACACTAAGTAAGAAGCGAAAACTTTTTGGAATTTAACTAATGTGGTTTTTCTGCCTAATCTTGAATATGTTTAGATAATATCCCAAACATTTCATAGTTATTTAATTTACTGAAAAAGTTTTAGTGTATTTCAATCAATTGGATTTAGTAATGATTGTTTTAAGTCAAATAAGCGACTTCATAGGTCAATATATCAAAGATGAGTAGTGAGTTTTATAAATCAATGATAGCAAATGATAATGAAATATATTTTAACACGAAAATGGTATCAATTAATATTAATAAGTCCAAATTCCTTAAGCTAAATCGATATCCTTAATAAATTTTTATAGTAATAGCTTCTCGTATTTAGAATATCAGCCATATTATGATAATGACTGAAAATTGTAGTCCTTACTTATTTTGATGCTCGTAATAATTTTAGAGTTGGAGAAGCCAAATCTTAAACTATAACTTGCATATCATGCACTTGGCATCCAAACCAGATTATTTCTGATACTAAAGGCCATTACCTTAACTTATTATTGCAATGGGTGTGTTAATATTTGGCAAGGTAGATTACTTATAAATGGCTTACTTTTGTTTAAAAATTGTTTTTTATTTATTTGATAACTGATCTCATTAAATTGAATAATTAAGAATTACAATGCAATTCTGTTTTATCCTACTATAGAAGAGGCAAAACTTTATCTCTGCCTTCTTAGTCTTCAATTGGGCCTGAGAATTAAGTTGACATAAAACAAACTAAACAGAATAAAAGAATAAATATTTGTTTTACATGTATTTGGAAGTCATCACGGAAAATGAGGAGCCAAAGAAGTGAGAAAACCCAAGTGATTATACAGTAGGTTGAATAAAGGATGGCCATAGTGCAAAAATAATTAAAATGTGTGGGGGGATAATGAAGATAAGAGTTATTTTAACAAGCTGTGTTTGTACAGATTTTTCTTAGCCTTAACTCCCAGTCCCTGTGACAATATTTCTTTTATGCTGCTACAGGGATTGGCATCTTTCCCACCAGGGTTTATCTCCCATCTCTGGTGATAGATTGTTCCTTTTCTCCTGTTAAAGGGAGGAAGGGGGAGATCAGTGTCCTTTCTCTACCTACTGGTTCTCAAGTGCCTTTAGTTCAAAATAATCCTTATGACAAAATGGCATTTTGGGGGGTTGGCATAATGTGCCACACTTAACTACTTACTTGAAATCAAGAGAGACATATTCATAGCTTAATTTTCTAAGAAGCCTCGCATGGCTTTAAAGGATGGTCTATCTACGATAGATTTCAGCCTTCACCTAGCAGTTGCCAGATAATCTCATTGATATTCACAAAAGAACAAAGTCATTTTTATCCTCTGTTTTTTGGATGGGTAATTTTAAGAAAATTGTGAATAATTATTATAAAAGCTAACCCTTATTATTTATTGTGAACCAGCCATTGTTTTAAGCAAGTGAAATGCATAAACATATTTAATTTTAGAAATTATAAGGTTAGTATCTACTAACAAAGCAGCCTTATCAAGTTCCATAATGCGTCCTCTATCCTCTAGAGTCTGTCTTTTCCCAACGCAGCCTGCAATAAGCAATCACATACAGATGCGCCTAAATTTATGATGGCGTTATGTCCAGATAATCCCATTGTAAGTTAAAAATATAAGTCAAAAATGTATTTAATACACCTAACCTACTGAACATTACAGTTTAGCCTAGCCTACCTGAAACATTTTCAGAACACTTACATTAGCCTACAGTTAGGCAAAATGATCTAACCCAAAGCTTATCTTATAATAAAGTATTGAATATCTCATGCAATTTATTGAATACTGACTGAAAGTGAAAAACAAAATGGTTGTATTGGTACTCAAAGTATGGATTCTACTGACGTGTATCACTTTTGTGCCATCGTGAAGGCAAAAAAATCTTAAATGAAACTATCTAATTTGGAGACCATCTGTATTAAAGTGAATTGTTAAGTGTTTTTAAGTATTTCCATTTACCACCATTTCTAACTCCATTATTAGTCTTCTTTTTTTTTTTTTTTTTTTTTTTTTTTTTTTGGACATGGAGTTTCTCTCTTGTCGCCCAGGCTGGAGGGCAGTGGTGCGATCTCAGCTCACTGTAACCTCCCCTTCCCGGGTCAAGCGATTCTCCTGCCTCAGCCTCCTGAGTAGCTGGGATTGCAGGCGCCCACCACCATGCCCAGTTAATTTTTTGTATTTTTAGTAGACACGGGGTTTCACCATGTTGGGCAGGCTGGTCTTGAACTCCTGACCTCAGGTGATCGCCTGCCTCAGCCTCCAAAAGTGCTGGGATTAAAGGCGTGAGCCACCGCGCCCAGCCACTAGTTTTCTATTATAGACTTGTAGTATGTATGCCTATAGGAGAAATGAAAAACTAAAATATAATCTGACATGTAACTGCTCTGAGTAAAGAAGTTGGGTGTCATATTTGGAGCACACGTATCTCTGTTCTTCCTTCTCCATTTGGTCTCCAAATCCATCTTTCGTCCTGTTTTGCCCTGTTCTGTGCTCTAGAATGCTGACTTCTCTGCAATGACCTTGATTTTCAGATGAATTCAATTAACAGAATATCCTATTGAAAGGCAAGAGAAAAAAGTGGTCTGAATTTTGGTCCCCTGTCCCCCAGTGTCCTCGTTTTCTTGAGGTTCTGATACTGGCTGTGTCCTTGCTTGACTGCTGCTCCTTTTAAGTGGTACCCAAAAATGGCTCCAGTTTTTCTTTGCTTAGGATAACTTCACTCACTTCCTTTGGCTCTTTTGGCCTAGTGCTGCTAATAGCATCTTACTGTAGCCAACAGTTCTCTTGTGCTTTTCCTACTTTATTAGTTTCCAAAAACTGCCTGTCCTTCTGTTAAAAAGTCTCCTTATTTTACACACTTTGGCTCCACCCCTTTGAGATGGCCATTAGTTTCCTGCTGACATCCAGAGTAACAGAGTGGAGGAATGGGGCTTAAAATTAATATTTTTAAAAGATGACTTTAAGAGAAAAAAATTGTACTAAGAGCATTGTACTTTACCCAGTGTAAACCAGACTACCCTAGAATACCATTGTCCTTCATTATAGAACCCGCTTTTTAAATATCAAAATTGGTTTAAATGTTTTTGAAAACACATGCTTCTCAATGACTCTGATGTAATTTCATGTTAGTTCACAGTTGCTTTCTCTTTTGCCCATGTAAACACTCATTGTTCAGCCTTCTTTGCTTACCAGTCAGTAACAAAACAGCTCTGGGCATATTTGAGTCCATCTCTTTTTTCTAAGATGAAAAATAAGTGGACCTAAACTAGGTATTTTAATTTATTATAACTGAACCATTTGAACAGAATTCTCTGGACACAAACGTAATTCTTTAAACAATATTGGTGAAGAGAGTTTAATTTCTGTTCTTACCTGTTAGCATTTATAGTAACTTTATTGACCCTTTCTTTTTTAACTCTGTTAAAATCAAAATTTTAACTGTGACACAGCTACACGTTATTGATCTTGACAGGTTTTTTCCAATAGTTTAAACCTGTGGACTCACTGGGGCAAATTCTTTTTCTTAGTCGTTTTTCTCAATCATTTAATAGATATATTTCTTTATTTAAGAAACAGTGTTGTCATAGCTTCGCTAAAAGCAGTTCTGATACTAAAACTGTATAAATGTTATGTACATATTTCAGAAGGTATTCAGAAAAATCTGCTTCCTTGTCTTGTAGTTACCTTATACACACTTTCCATCAAGTAGCTTTTAATTTTCTGGCCATAGCTTAATTTAAATGAGTATAGAAAACTAATGGGGGATTATTTGAAGTCTAGAGAAATAAGAAACTACTGTATTATTGAAGCAAGAGATGTTTTAAAATATTACAATTATCTGAACACTTATTGGAATTCCATGAACTCCCGAAAGTTAATAGATTGTATTAGACCCTTCTCAGAAGTCACGCTTTGTGGCATTTGCTCTTATTTATTGTCCTGGCAGAAAGTTCCAGCTGAAGTCAAGGTCATCTTCTATCCCAAAGTTGGTATAATTAGTATCAATTCGGTGTTTCACCAAGCTTATACAGGAGGTTATTAACTGTGTTTCATGTGGAGTGTCAAAGAAGCAAGGGCAGTGCCTGCAATCTTTTCAGCTTCAAAGGCACAGCTTGTAAATTTAATTCACTGGTTAGTAAGAAAGATACAGCCAGTTTATTAATGATTTTTTTTTAAATTTAGAGATGTTCTAGAAATACATTTACTTATATATGTAGAATATGCTTCTTAAATATAGAACAGATTAATAATAACTCACTTTAGCCTCGATATTTCATAGGAAACATAGTTTCTGAAATTATAATAATTATATTTAATTATTTATATATTATTTTTATTATATTATTTTATATAAATATAAATTTATATTATAAATTATATAAATATAAACATATTTTATTATAATATTTAATTATAATAATTATAATTTATTATAACAATTTTATTTATTTTAACATGTATATTATATAAAAATGAATTTTTTAATGGTTTATACTGGGGAACTTTTTTTCTTTCTTAGGGATTGTTTTTCAGAAAACATATATACTGTTAGATTATATTAAATCTTGGGTTACTACTATAAAATCAATTAAGACACTTCTAAATGTAGAGCAGTGAAAATATATTTTCATTGCTATATAAATAGACCTGTTTATTTAAAAGAAATGAAAGCTAATAGAATGAAGATTTCTGTTTAAATTGATGGAAGCTGAAGAAATAAATAAGTTTAAAATGAAACTTTAAAAAATGTTTGATGTTTTAAATTATGCAAGTCACAAGAGTGCCCTTAGAAAATAGAAGAGAGCATAAATGTTCTGCTTCCTTTAATAGGTAATAGTGGAAAGAAAATATAAATACAAGGTTTTCTCAGATATTTTCCAAATGCAGCAAACAAGTCAGTAAATACTTAAAGATTTTCAAATTGTGTCAGAGTTCAACTTCATTCAAGTCAGATGGAAATGCTCAATTTAGTTTTGGAAATGGTTATATATAACCAATGATATGTTATATATGTTGATTCTAATAGACCAAATAAGGTCTATTAGAATATAAATAAAAACTTTAGCACTCGATGCTAACCTGAAATAACACAACTTGATACATTGCAACTATTCAAATATTTAGGTCCATGGCTAACTAAAAATCCTGGACCCCCAAGCCAGTATTCCTACCCACATCCTGCCTGCAGCCACTCCAAAAGCATGTACGATGTGATACTCGCAGCAAGGTTGAAAGTACCTCCACCTATAGAACATATATGGTGCTTGTTCCTTAAGCATTTCTACCTTGTTTTCACTATGAACTATTTTAGATATTTAGTTTTAAAACTTAATCAACTAAACATAATCATGATTGTTTTTTAAAAGACTAGTGAAAATTAAACTATTTTTGTACCCTAAACATAGAAATCAGTCTTTTTGTAGATAAGCAGGTTTCTCTATATGGACCATCTGGATATTGAATAATTACTTAATTTTTGTCAAGAAAAGAAACCCCAACATATTGACACTTAATTTTTAAAAGCTCACAACATTGTGCAAATTGTGTTTTATTACCACCAATAAAACAAAAAAGATTTTTAATAGCTAAACACTCATAATAGAATCTCATAAACAACTTCTTGATTTGCACACTTTGGGATTTAACTGTGTCAAGATGATATATTCTACTACTCCAAATGTTCTATTTGAGTACATTTATGGTGATTAACTCAGAGCTATAATGATTTTATTCCATTCATTTTTTTCCCTCAGTACTGGAATGCTTTTTCTTTTATTCTGATGTTTCTTTATTTCTTTGTATTCTGTTTTTAAAGCATTTAAACCAAGAAGGAAAAGAGAGACACAGTAATGAAACCAAATAAAAATTAAGTAAAGATAGACTTGATTTCTTTTGATATAAAGGATGTAGAGAATAGAAGGGCAGGATAGAACATTATTGATTCTTAACCTGGTTTAATTAAATAAATGCTTCAGACAGTGGTTTGAAGTGCACATATGTCATGTGGTGTTTGCTTTAGCTTATTTTATTTTGAAGTCAGAAAAATGAAACAATTGAGGTAAGAGAATCTGAATATAAATGAAACTCTTTCGTAGTGCACATTTTAGGCAACTGT
This sequence comes from Homo sapiens, assembly GCF_000001405.40. NCBI lineage: Eukaryota > Metazoa > Chordata > Mammalia > Primates > Hominidae > Homo > Homo sapiens. The sequence goes on along the minus strand of NC_000003.12, from coordinate 85,985,917 downwards.
AGTTCATTTAAAATGTCCACATTAAATATGAGTTTGACAATTCATCCCAACCTTTCAACAATGGCCCAAAGTGTGTACTTAACTTTGTTTTATTTTCAATTTATATAGCTCAACTTTGTGTATATGATTTTTTTTTACAAGTCACTAAGATGGTTTCAAATGCTTTTAGAGTGAAAAAGTAGTTATTTATTAAGATCTTTCAGAAAGCAATGTTTTAGGATTATAGTGATACAAACAGATCCCTAAATTCATCTACATTTAAAGAATTAAGTTTTCTGATGCACATGATTTAAAAATACAATGGCATTATATGGGCTAAAAATTATGGGTCTATAATTTCTAGACTGGTTTTATAGTCATTCCAGACGTATACTAAAAATCATTCTATTCTTCGAGAATCATTTTAAGTATTTTAGTTAACGTTACCTTTTTAAACATATGTCACAACAGTAGTGCTGTGGTCTGTTGGACCATATGTCCTCCTGAGGACACAAATGTCCTCCTGAAAATTCAGAGGTTGAATTCCTAACCCTCAAGGTGATGATATTAAGAGCTGGGGCCTGGGGAAGTGATTAAATCATGAGGTGAAGCCCTCATGAACGTGATATGTACTTGTATAAAAGAGGCTCCAGAGAGCTGCTCTGCCCCTTGCACAATGTGAGGACACATGGAAAGACAGGTAGAAGTCATCATCTATGAGTAATGGGCCCTTAACAGGCAACTAATGTACCCATGACTTGATCTTGGCTTTCCCAGCCTCCAGAACTTTGAGAAGTAAATATTTGTTATGTGTAAGTCACTGAGTTAAATTTCATTATAGCACCCCAAACAGACCAAGGCAACTAATGCACAATTAAATTGTTAAGAATTGAGTACACATCTTAAAATGTTGTGAGTTTTGTCAATATAACTCTAGTTCTAGATATTTTGACAGTTTGATTTCTTCAGTTTAAAAAAATCCTTTTTTTTCCTGTGTGCCGTACCATTTTGAACTAAGGTTCTGTTGCAACGAATCTCATTACAATTAAATTTGTTGAGATTACCAGACAAATAATGTAGTTTTTGTTAGTACAAAATTATAATTCTACCATTTCAAAGACTGATGTAAAACTAAATCTATATTTGAATCAACAATTCATTTGAAGTTTTACATGGATTGTGTAAACACTTTAATCACCATTTTTTGGATTTCTTTCCCTATCTGGTACATTGAAATGTATGGTGTATTTGAATCCACTCTTAGTAATAGGACAGTGTATACTGGTTTACATCTTTCCATATCTATCAGATCATCTCTACATTTAGTGCATTTACTGTCCTGTGCAGGTAAAAACAAATATCAATTGTTAGCTTAGAAAATTTTCTGTCCTAAGTATAAAAGTTCAGTTATAAATTCTTATTTAAAAATTATGATAAATAAACATAACCACTTAAATATATAACTATGTTTCATATGTCTCCTGAATTTGAAATAAGTTAACATCATCTATAAAATGAGGATGCTACTAAAGATTACTAGATTATGACATGGTTTATTATGAAATTAAAATTATATGATAAAAATGAGAACGTTATTAAATTAAACATTCCATGCTAAAATAATGCTTATATTAATACTAGAAATCATATCAAAGTCACTTGGAATTATTTTATAAATGACTATATTAAGTTAATTAAAAAATCACAATGACCTAAAAAAGTAACATGTATAATATATGTGCATACATAATATATGTGTACATATGTGCACATATATGTACACATATGATATATAATATATAATCGGAATAATTGTACACATCATATGTAATATAAAGCATATATCATATATAACATAATACAGAGCATTGTATTATGTATAATATAAGATAGATCATATATAATATGTATAATATATTATGTGTGTCATATATATACACATATGTATATATATAATCTGAATTTTAAGGTTGGTTAGGCCACTGTAAAAAATTACGCAATTTCCAAAAGCTGAAACAATTAAAATGATATAGATTAAGAATACTTTAAACTTCATGAAAAGTATATGAACTGTTATACTTCAAAGGACAGACAGATGGTAGATGAATGATAGATGAAAGATAGATAGATAGATAGATAGATAGGTAGATAGACAGATAGATATAAATGGTACCATATGCTCTAGTATAATTTTCATCTAATGTTTGTTTCATACAATCAAAAAAATAGAATTGAAATGAAAAAGTAATTAGTGCATTAACACCAAAGAATTTTGCCAGATTAAAACTGTAATTATAGGGGAAAATCTACCATTTCATTAATGGTATGATACAACTGCTGGTAAACATGTTTGTTTTACTAAAACGAACTGAAAAAATAATTCTGTCATTTATTGAGTATTGCTTATGTTTTCATAACTTTAGATATTATATAACTCTCAAGTCAAACCTGTGCTTCATGTTTTTCTGATGAAAACACTGATGCTCAATTTGGTGCACCGTCGAAGGTCAAACATCTTGTAAACAAAATAACTGAAACTCATATCCAAAGATGTATCCAGGGCTCAATCCAGCTCTTTCCCATAGCTGCCCAAGTTGGTTCATTTCTCTGTGTTTTAACATCCTTATTTGTAATAAGATACTAATTGCCTGTTTTTATTCCATGTGGTTGAAGTTCTTCTTCCTCCAAATAGGGATGCATTTTAAACACAAGCTGAAGAGTTGCGCAAATTCTCAAGTTTATGACACTGTCAATCCAGTGTAGTTTCTTTCATTCCATTTCATCTTGATTTTTAATATAGATACAGCTGTGATTCTTTAAATGTATTTTAAATTGGTTTAACATATCATAGGATGAAAAATCCAGCAATAGCAGGAGTTGTAAAAGTGTAAATGGAGATATTAACAGTGATTTATTTGTGATCATTTATTAAAAATATGGAGATAAATGCTATAGTTTATGAAATTTGAAGAAATACAATTTAAACCTAATAAAATCAAATACATTTAGTTGATTTCAAATTATTGAATAAGATAAAGGAATGAAATAAGTAAACCAAAAAGAAATGCTGCAAGTTGAAAATATTCTTTCTGTTTAGGTCTCAGCTTTTCGTAGGCAATATATTCTTATTATGAATCCTTTTTAATCATGATTTTGAACCATCTTTCACAAACTTATAAATAAATGATTTTCAAATATAATTGCATCTAAAAGTTTTAATTTAAAAGGCAATTCACAAAGAAACAACGTCACATAATTTGAAAGAATACAGTGTAAAATTGATAACATTGTTTACATACTAAATGAATCCTCCACACTTTCAGTTATGAACTAGAATATTAATGATGCAGGTGAGTCTGGTGACTTAGGCAGTCCTCAGATGTTTGATGAGGATAGAAGGAAAAATGGGCGTTAGGCTAACATTAAAATTCAATGCTACTATTTTTTTCTTTTAAAATAGATAATATGAACTTCCCAGCTTACAAAAAAACTTTTTAAAAAAATATTTTTGTGTGATTTCTTTAAAAATGTTATCTTTCAAACTTTAAGTTAAAAAAGAGGGATTGGTTTTTGTTCATATCTTTTTGTGTGTGTACGCATGTGTGTCTTCTTGGAGGTTGGTTGAGTGTTTAAGGGAAAAATAAATTATCTGAGCACTTTAAGCATCCATGGTGTAAAGTTTACAAAAACATGTTAAGAAACCTGAAAAAAAGTGAATTTACCAGAAAGAGTAAACCACTGATTTTAGTTCAGTGACAAAGGACATTAACAGATAATTCTCAAAAGCAGACATGTGTGTGGCTAACAAGCATATGAAAAAATGCTCAACATCACTAATCATTAGAGAAACACAAATCAAAACCGCAATGAAATACCTTCTTACACCAGTGAGAATGACTGCTATTAAAAAGTCAAAAATAACAGATGCAGGCAAGTTTGCAGAGAAATGGAATGCTTGCATACTGCTGGTGGGAATATAAATTAGTTCAGTCACTGTGAAAAGAAGCCTAGGGATTTATCAGAGAAATTAAAACAGAACTACTGTTTCATCCAGCAATCCCATCACTGAGTATATACCCAAAAGAATATAAATTGTTCTACCATAAAGACACACGCACACATATGTTCATTGCAGCACTATTCACAATATCAAAGACATGGAATCAACCTAGATGCCCATCAGTGGTGGACTGGATGAAGAAAATGTGGTACATATGCATTAGAAATACTACGCAGCCATTAAAAAGAATGAGATCATATCCTTTGCAGCAGCAAAGATGCAGCTGCAGGCCATTATTCTAAGCAAATTAATGTGGAACAGAAAACCAAATATTGCACATTCTCACTTATAAGTCAGAGCTAAATATTGAGGACACATGGACACAAGGATGGGAACAATAGATACTGGGACCTAGTTGAGGATGGGAGGGTCCAGGAGGGTGAGGATCAAAAAACTACCTATCACATACTATGCTTACTACCTGGGAGACAAAATAATTTGTACACCAAATCCCAGCAACATTTAGTTTACCAATGTAACAAATTTCTACATGTACTCCTGAACCTAAAATAAAAGTTGGAAGGAAAAAAAATGCAATAGACCAAATCCCACTTAAGATTCATGTGAACCAATGTAAAAGAATGTTGTTAGTTTCACTTTGAAATATTTTTCTCATATAATAGTCTATAATGGCGTGTGTGTAAATGTGTGTGTGTAGGTTTGAAATTACATAGATAGATAGATATTTAGTCCTTTGAAACAGAATTATATATATATACATATATATAGTCCTCTGAAGCAAAATACTATGGATTTTTTTTTCAAAAGACCGGAAGACCACATGTAATATTTTCCCACAAAGAACAATAGTACTTTTCAATAAAGATTAAGCACAAAAACTGTTTGTTGGGGGTGGGGAGAAATGTATACATTTGATTGCTAGTGATTTTAGATGCCAGTAGTTGTCATAATTTTAGGTCCTGGCATAACACCATACATATAGCATATATTCAATACATATTTGTTGAAGAAGAAGGCATAATTGAATATTAGATTTTTGTGTTACAAATGGATCTTTTAAAAAAAGTCAATATATCTCCCTCCTTTCCCATTGAAGTGATTTGTTTATATAGTCAGAACTTAATAGTATAGCAGATATTGTGTTAGTATGCAATGATTACATTTTATTTAGACTGCCGTTTGTGAAAAACCTTACAGAGCATCACAAATTAAAGCAAAGTAGAACTTTAGATAACTTTCATTTTACATAATATTATAAAGCACTTCTAACTTTTTCTTCATTTTCATTATGTCTCTTTTCCCATTTTTATATAATTTTTTACAAGAAAGACCTTCACACTCTTCTCACTTACAGATTTAGCTTAAATAAAGTTCAGTCATACAAAAACATACCTAGCTATTTCTGAGAAATTCTTATTGCTACTACCATTAAACTTATTTAGTCATCAATCTTGTACATTGTATAATATAGTTGATGTCATTATTAAAAAATGGAAAATTATCAGACATTAGAATTTTTTCTGAAACAAAGACTATTATAACTGTTAAATCAAAGACGGCAAATCAACTTAATATCTAGAATTAATTAAAATTCCAAGAAAACCATCTAACTGAACAACCTTTAATAATTATGAATAATAATGCTAAACATAACCTTCATACAACTGAATTAAATATAATAATATAAAGTCCTCATTAATTTCAAGTTAAATTGTTAAATTTCACAGATATTAGTAGAGCCAAGGTGACATGAAACATATATAAGAAATAAGAAAAAGACAGACTTAAATACGACAAATTCTCTCTGAGCACTGCTTATGTAGAAATTAAACCATGTTTTTCTATAATGGCTTCATTTTTTTTTAATTTCCTCATCAGCTGCTAACCACTTAATGACTGCTCAGGAATACTTTTTATATTTCTCAACCACAACATAGTTACTTCTTCTGCCTTTATGGATATTCCCACCTTTTTAAGGTTGATTTCTTTGAAATAAAATTCTTATTTGTATAATGATATCAGAAATTACTCATGGAGCCATCTGAGACAACAGATATTTACTTTTAGAACATTCTATTAGTAGAATAAGTAGCTTCACTCAGCAAATCACTTTGGGATACATGTATTTTGAATATTTACTTGCAAGTTCTATGTGGAGAATAATTTATACTGACCCCATGGACTATGTCAATTTTAGAACAATTTCAAAACTATAGATATTTTAACATAGTTGCAGAGGAGTGGCAAGTTATTAATATTAAACTAGAATTTTAAAAAAGTAAAAGCTACCTCTGCACACATGAACATCTTATTTATTTGTTTACCTCTCAAGACAGGCAAAAACTGTGTCCCATGCTAACATTTTAAATTTGACCAACATTTTAAAGTCCCATATATTTTAAATCTATATTCTGCAAGATTTTGATAATAGTCTTAAGTAACACTAAAAAAAATAAAATGTACCATCATTTCTCATATTCTATTCCAATAACCCTAATTGATAGCAATTTAGGTGACTTAATTACTTCTCATAATTAAGTAAAATTGAATCTCAATGTTTTTAACCTTTCTAAAAACTTCTACAGAGCTCCAGTTAATGTGCTTTCCAGGCTATAACAAAGAAACATACTGTACCTCTGATGCTGCTGGTTGTTGCAGATGTGGTTGGGCTGGTTGTTATGGCTACAGTGGTTGTGACTGTTGCAGTGGTAAGGGAGGGGATGATAGTAGTGGGAAGCAAAGTGTTGGGAACATCTGGTGAGTGGAAAAAAAATATAAACAAAATCATATCATGCAAACAAAAGAGAAACACAAATGATTCAAATTATAAATACATATAACTTATTGAGGTTTAACTTTAACAAGCTTTAACAGAATATCAGGTACAAAACTGTGTCACACAATTCTTGTCATTTTTTTCACTTCTTTTTCATGCTCCAACACAAAGCAAAGACTTGGAGCAATGTTTGAGAGTAAGCAGGTTATTTTCAATATTTAGAGTAAAATGTAAAATGACAAGAATTCATTTGTTCACTGAGTCATTTAAAAAGTTTGACATGCAGTAGCAAAAAACATGTAGGTAAAAAAAAATGACATGCTTTGTCAAAGAAGTAAACAGAATGACACATACAGAAATAAACACATATACCACCATATAAGATTAACAAAATGTTAACGATCAATGTGTAAATGCATGTTAAATGCTTTTTGATTTTTTTCTTCTTTTAGGAAGACTTAATGATAGGAAATGAGAGCAATCTTTAGAAACAAACAAACAAAAGAAGCCAATTGTTATTATTATTGTTATTTTGCTTCTCCTGTTCTCACAAATGAGGTTAATGCACAGTTTAGAGTCTTGCAATTCTTACCCTGGTTAACTGGTAACGCCTTCTAATAATTTTGCAGTACCTAGGAGTCTTTAACAAGTATTGAGTCAACTAGCATGGCACCCGATATTCTGAAAGGTTTATGATTTATTTTAATACGGCATACCTAGGAGGGGTTACTGAACATATACTTGAAGTGTAACATTGAACCTCTAATCCATAATTAGTTAAGTTGCCAAAAGTTAAGTGTAGCTTCAAATACAGAAAAAATAAAACCCAGAAAGAATAGTGTTTAATGCCCAAATCCTCTTTCCTTTCACTAAAAATCAGCTGAAAATATGAAGAGCAGCACAGAGAACATTGAAACAATACAGCCAGTGTCAAGCTATGAGAACTTCAGTGAGATCCTCAGAGAGTCAAATCTTGTCTAAAGTGAATAGGCATGTAATCTACACAGTGAGGAAATTAGAAACAGTTTCCAAATTACCAATAATTACTGTGCTGAGGTTTGATTTCACATGTTTGTCACATAGCCCTCATATATTCCGAGTGTTTGACAGATTATTTTGTATTAAAAGGTTTCCTGTCATTCTCTCAGTTAAAGTCTTTGAGTCACACCAAACATTTTCTAGTACTTTACTGCTGATAAATAGCCCTACTCACTCTGTAGACTCTACCCGCTGAATTTTCTACACTGGATACACCAGAAAACAGCATGAGATCGCTCTCTTATCTTGAATATTGATGTTTACACCTGTTTTTCGACAGGGAAAATGCTTCCTGGCCAGTCAGATTAAGAAAACAACCTTCTTAAAACTCAGTGGTGCTGCATTAATCACTAGGGAAAATGGGTAAAGCCTGGAGTGCGATCTACCATTATCATAAAGTAGAACTGACTTTAACGACATTATAAATGAAGAAAGATTATGTATATGGACAAAGATACTTCTTGTTTACTAATTGTTATAATAACTCCTTATTTCAAGGTAAGATTTCTTAAACAGTTTAGGCAGACTGGAGGTAAATGAAAACATTTTCTAAATTTAAAAAATGTGTAATTTTAACTTTTATACTTATCTAAAATAGAAAATAATACCTTGTTAGCAAAATTATTTGCTGATTAGGATCTCAAAATATATACATTTAATAACTGCAAAGACCAATATCTTCCAAGTATATCAAATTTATGAACAAACAATAATACCAGGCATTTAAAACTCCATGTAAATGATCTGTTATTTCCAAATTTATCACAGATTATAACATGTTGGTTTATTTCCTATCACATAATCAGTTCAAATACTATTGCATTGGATCTTATTCTAATAAGAAAAGTAGTCTTTCAAAATCAGCCCCATCACTGAATTATTAAGAGAAGGAATACAAATCACAGGATTTTGGTTTTGTTTTTAGTTTAGTTTTGTTTTGTTTTGTTTTTATTTACAATAATAATAATTATTATTATTATAGTAGTATTTGGAGTCCCCCCAACCTTGCCCCGCTTATACCACGTCAACCAATATAGGCAGTAATAAATCCTGAATTTTTTAAAGACAGTCTATATATTTTCAAGTACTAGGAGCATTCTTGTATAAAGCAAACCATATCTTTATTTCTTACAAGGGTAAAAACGCATTAAGCATACATTTTTCCATAGGTTAATATTCAAATAACCTAAAAAGATGAGTAGTTTTAATAATTGTTAATCCACTTCAAAACAACATCCTTAGAATCTTTTAAAATACACAAATAAATAACATTACAAATTATTATTTACACATAGCCTGGTTCTTTTTTATCTGTTCAGCATTCTCCCTTATCCTCCTCTCTGACATCATATGTGGCTAAAAACAAATTGACTGAAAGTAATTTGGTGGAAAGTGCCAAAATGACAATTGGGTTTAAAAAATGACTTGTCATAAAGAAACCGATGCCTGTTACTGTTACATGTTTTTAACTACTACTAGCTTCATTTTGTTCTATGTGTTTTAAAACATTTAAAACATTTTTGCTTTTCTAATAATTTTGAGGGTTTTATTCTGTTCTTTCATTATTTGTTAAAGACCACCCCATTATTTCAGCTATATTGTGAAATAGTAAAAGTTAAAATAACCTAAATATTCAGCACCAGAATATTAATGGGAAGCAACTAAAATTGAACGATGTAAGATCAATTGAATTAGTTGAAATTCTCTGAAAGACCAGAACAGTTGTATGAAACGTCTGTCTTCTACCTAAACTTTCCACCCGCTCTGCTTTTCTTGCTCTCAGTGTCCCACTAGACAATCAGGTCTTCAAGAGAAGAGCTCTGCCTGGAATCCTGTACATTTTTAAACCTCTTACACTGTTAATGAAAAGAAGACTCCATCAAATATGGTACAGGGTGGAAACTGCAGCCCATTTTATCCCTTGTAAAATGATACCGCTTAAAATATTCCCCAATATTGAAAAATACTAATTCATACGCAGAGAAATTATATACATGCACACATACATCATAAAAATGTTAAATACTGGTTCAACATTAACTTATTAATTTTTTCCATAGGACAAGATAATCTGCAGTTATACTAATATTTTAAGTAATTTGCTTAATATGACATGGCAGTGTCAGAGTGTCTTAATATATGCCTTATATGGTAACATCCTATGATTAATCAGATGATATTTGAACACAGACACCAAGACAACTATAAATAAAACATGGTCAAATTTATGGCATGTGATGCATAATTTATGAATATTGGAATTTAGAAATGATAACCATCCAATACACAGCTCAATTTGTATATTTCACCTCTGAATTCAACATTGCAAAAGATGAGCTCATTTTTTTGTGTGTTCCTTGGAGAGTGTATTAATTTAACCAACTATAAATGCAATTGCCTGAAATAAAAATGTAGTTATAAATGATAGGTTCAGCACTTCAAATTTACAAAAGAAATTAATTGTGTCGTATTATATATTTGTAGTTTGTATTTTTAGATGTTAAGTTATAAAGAGTGAAGAGTCAGCAATTGATAAAATATGTTCTAATAAAAAAGATATTTGAAAAATGAACTAAGTGAAAGTAAATTTTGTCTAGAGCTGATCGGAGAAATTAGTAATTATACATAAATTATTTAGACTCAATTTAAATCCAAACAAGATAAATTTCAATGAAGTTCATCAAAATCAGAATTTAAAATACTCTCATTAATAAGAAATTTGTTTGCTATCTAATCTAACAATAGTTTTCAGGCTGTTAAAAGTTTTAATCACAATATATAGGAATGTGTAATGACAATTTCTCTGAAATTATGAAATCATAATTATGTGTTTTAAATTTATTTAGCCAATTTATTCTCACCACATACTAAATACCACATATCATGGTATATTAAAATAAATAATACTCACTAAAATAAATTGATGGTTTTAGATAGGATATGAAATGAATTCATACAGATCCAGTGTTCATGATCTAAACTTTAAATATATCTTTATACATATATTTTATATATGTACACATTTTATGTAAATCCTGGACCTCTATCTATCTATCTATCTGTCTATCTAAGAAGTTTTATTTAAAAGGCAGTGTGAGCCTTTTTATTGACAGGAAGCTGAGAAAAGTAAAGATTCCAAGATATGAAAATATCTTCTTATAATTTTGCCTACACATAAAGTTTGAATTGTAATAAATTATACTTTTCATTTCACTTATAACATATATAAAGTACTGTTTTCATGTAAAAGGAAAATTTTGGGGTATTTCAATAACAGACAGAACCCCTAAATCAAGTCAATAGAACAATTTCATAATTGTGCAGACAGTCTAACTAGGCTGCAAAAGTTATTCATGTGAGTGAACGCTGGGTTGCCAATAAATGCAATGTAAATAATCTGAGTACTTCTATAAGAACTTAGTCACATGCAGAAGTATAATTTCAGCTAAAACAACGCATTTGCCAAATCAGGAAACTAAAATCTGTTTACAGGACCATGGCTAAACTTGAATATGATAAATTCATCAGTCCATCATCTCTCCTGCTTAACCTGCGTGACTCTGATAGGAACTCCAAAACTGCACCACCCACTATTGTGTTGAGGTAGCCATAACTTTGTGGTTTCCTATTACAACAGGGGCTAGAGTTCCTCATAGGATACATGTCTGGCTTGTTTTATTAATTTTTCAAGTGCCAAGTTAATGTAGAGAAAGAAGCTTAAGCCTAGCATACAAGAAGACATCTGCCTCTGACACAAGTGCTTTACCCCCTTGACAGAGCTAGACATAGCTCTTCCTGTTCTTTGTGCTGTAGGTTCTCAGAGGCACACCCTGTTTCACATTTGTTATCTCATTCATGTCCATCCTTTAAATCCTGGTTCAAATAGGATCTCATATGGAAAGCATGGCCCAGTTCTGCAAAGAGTTAATATCTTCCTTCTCTGAGCTTTTAAGCATTTTGCAGACACCCGTGTACATGTTTATATTTATGTGTTTCCCTCTCCCAATAAACTGTAGGCTCAGCCTTATAAATTAACATGTTTTTGTCTTTTAAAATATCACTTTGTCTTAGACAAATATACTCTGAGCCAATCCCTCATTAGCTTTTCATTTCAGAATAGCCATCCTTTCCTGATACCTAACAAAATGCTACTCTCACATCTCAGCCTGATTCCTACCTGGTTTGTGAAGACTTCCTTGACCAGCTAAGCCCACCTAATTTCCTTTCACCACCCATTGTACTTTTTGAGTTTATCTACTGCTTCCTTCACTTTGTCCCACCCAAATCCCCATGACCAATAATGCTTCCATTCATGACATACTGCTATGGGAGGACCCACAGTTATGTGTGTCCCACTAGCTCTATATCCATTTCTGTCCCTCAGTAGAAAACACAAATTAAAAATGTGCGATGTTATAATAACATTTTCAAATTTGCTCTAGTTTACATAATCAGTTTGTAAACTCTATTATTTTAGCTCTTTTTAATAATAAAGTATGCAGTACACTGATTATAACTCAAAGCTCTTCAGAAAATCTGGGATTGGAAATTGAGAAGCTGTAACATTCATTTGATACTTAACATATATTGCTTGCATTTTTGTTTCCTGAACAAATGAGAATAAGATAATAGAGAGAATGAACTTCATGGTAAACTTTTGCACTTCATCAGGGTGGCTAGCTCTATGCTTTCAATGTGGTAGGTGCTTTTTGTTTGTCTGTTTTAAAAGATGGGGTCTTGCTATGTTGCCCAGGCTGGAATGCAGTGGCTATCCACAGGCATGGCCATGGTGCACTACATTTCTGAACTCCTAAACTCAAACGATCTTTCTGCCTCAGCATCCTGAGTAGCTGGGACTACAGGGATGGACCACAGTTCTAGAAATGACAGGTGCTTTATCAATAACATCACTCCTGATGATAATGATACCAGTAGATAGGCAATAGTATCATTCTTAAAAATATGAATCAGTAACAGAAGCTTATACATGGTTAATCCCTGAAAAAAGTTGCTCTCCCTTTTATCATGTGTGAGATGATTTTTCATAATTCCTGTTAAGAGTCTTCCAGTCTAAAGGAGTATTAAAAAAATTAAAATGCAGCATACAGAATAGTTCTATATTCTAAACGCAGGTTTTCAGTGTTTTTAAAAGTGTTAGAGCTCTAAATAATATCATCCAATTAAAAACAACAGAAAAGTGTCCTTTTCTTTATATTCTAATGAAGGATTTTTTAGAAAATGCCACCACATTTTGTTATTGGAGCTTATTAGAGCACAACAGATCCTGTATAACCTTGTCAAAAGGAAATCACTTCCAACAAGCGCTGTATACAATAAACTGAAGAGTGGTACAGCACCTTTTTTCCAATAACGAGCTTTTCAGGTTAAAGGTATGTTCTGTTCTCTACAAATGCAGTGTACAATAATTTCTAACTTGTCAACTTGTTTTGTTTTCTGGCAGTTTATCTTTTTAAAAATGGCATTCAGAATGGATTTTCGAAACAAAATTAAGTCTAAAGAGTCCCAGAAGCCCAAGCTGCTTGTTTCTCTCCAAGGACTAGTGTTCAATAGGGAGAAAAATTGTTACCATTTAGTCTGGAATCCATATGTTTACTTTCTTTCTGCTTTATGTCACTAATGTCCTCCCCCAGGGGTGGTCCCAGGATGATAAAGAATAAATAAACACTAAGAGTTATTAGTGGAGATGTAGAAGTGTTAGAACTTGAGGTATATCATTAGAATTATTATGGTAAGATGTGTCTTTTTTGGTGAAAGGTACTCACATTTCCCTATCTTAAAAAATAATAGGGTAGTTTTCCTTACTACTAATTGCACTGACTGACATTGGAAACAATTGTAAGAGGAAAGTTTACTTTATTTGCTTTTGCCTGTACAAAAAAAGAAGGACATTTATCTGCTCCCATTATGCTCAGCTACATGCAGCAGCCTATTTGGATCACAGTGTAAAAGTGGATAACAGCACCAAAGCTCTTACTTAAATGATAACCACCAGGTTGAGAAGGTCCCAACTCACCAGTACACGCCTCCTCCTCAACAGTCATATAGTAACCCCATCTGCTTCATAAAAAGGAACTCTTTTAAAAATTATATTTGAATAAATCCCTTTTCATCCCTCTGATAGCTTCCACTGGTTTCTCATACTAAATGGAATGCTTATACAAGAAAAAAAAAGCTGTTCTTAAAATATGAAAAGTACTGCAATTTTAAACTGTAGGCGGTAACTGTCAGTTCTATGTAATTACAAGAAAACTTCATGAATAAAATCAATGCTTTATTTGAAAAAATGTATGCATTTTTTCTTTTATAATACTTTTTTACATTCCAAACTGACAAAAGTAAAGTGAAATTTCAAGTATGAAAAAAATGCTTTTGAAGTGGATTATCCTATATCATTTAGCTCCGCCTACTTCAATATTGTGAGCCCTTTCCTACTCTTTCCTTAAAATACTCTACCTGAAAGTAAATCACATGATTTGGTCCAATACTTTAAGTTCTGTGAAAATGTAAGAGAATATTACTGTCATCCATTAAAAGAAAAACGTAAATCAGCTATGAATAAACACAAGGAGAACTGTGATATAGTAGAAAAATACTGACTGAGAAATCCACATATTTTGATTTTTCATGTAGGCTCTGTGATAAAGTAGCTGAGAGCCATTTTGCATGTAATTTAACCTCTATGCATCTATGCTTCCTCATCTAAAAACTGAAGACTTTCGGCTTGGTCATTTATATAAATCCTTTTAGACCAAGTTTTTAACCAGTGATGGATCAGAGTTGATCTTCTAAAAGCAAAACACCTTCACTCAAAAAATGATACATGAAAAAACGTTTGCACATGACGTCAGGACATACGAGAGTCCATAAGGGCGTTGGTTCAGATTCAAAATGCAATGAAGTAAATACATTTGTTGCCTCCTATTCTCTAATTATCTCAACTGAAAAATAATCTCATGTATACTAGAAAAAATGATCTTAATATGTATGTTATTTTAAAAATATTAACGTCAGTGAACATTTCAGAATACAAAAATCACTTTTTGCAGTAATCCACCCATACTTAAATATAATATCCTTATGATTAAAAACTGTTTTAAGATTTCTTGCATGACTTTTTTTTTCCATTTTTATCTTTCATTCTGTAAAATAGTTGCTTAACCCATACTAGGTTATATTTTTATGTTACTCTATAGATTTATCACCATGTAACTTACCCGAAATATGTTTTAGGTTTATCTTGATACCGCTTCTCATTTAATATATAAATTTCATCAAAGATTAAAGTAGCTTCCAGAATCCTGAACCAACATTTTTGAGGATTAACTAAACTGTGCTGCATTTTGGAGGGTGAAGAGAGTACTATGCACACGGCACTAATTTTAGTGAATTCTAATTTTGACATAAATGTTTGTTAACTGCCAGTTTTTAAAAGTAATAACGTGAATCCAAATGCAATATTCTATATTGAAATACAAAAGTTTAGTTAAATAAAAATTAAATGATAAGGTAATAATGTTTCAAAGATTGTTATTATAACCTTGCTAACCTATAATTTAAGAAAACTATGAATGTCTATTTACAGGTAATTTTTGCACATGCATATTAATGAATAGGTCCACTTTGACATATCCTTAGAACACAATCCCTGAATAAAACTAAATAATGTTAAGAATAATTGTGAATAAGCATCTATTGAGCTTCACTTTTAATATCCACTCCTATCACCTGTATTTCTAATGGTCAGAGCTCTCACGAGCAGCCAGGTCTCTCTTATAAAAGGTTGAATTTCAGTTAGCAAAGTCATTTAACTTTGCAAAAAGATGAAAACACATACTTGGAATCAATTGCATAACTCTTTAATTGCAAAAATTTTTATTAGAAAAATTAATCTATGCACAGTTATTTATGTTTTGAATCACTTAATTCTATAAGTAAGGCACATTTCACCTGGGTTGCTAAGTAAACACGTCTTTTTTTTTTTCAATATGGGATAAAAACTAAAGGTTATTATTTTGGTGACCAAGGAATATCAATTATTTCCCTGATTTTATCCAGAAGTCAAGGCTGTTTGTGTGTGTGTGTGAGTGTATGAGTGTATATATATATATACACTCACACACACACACACAAACACACCCCTGTATATTCGTATATGTGTGTATATATGTAGATATGGGTATGTATGTGTATATATGTGTATATGTGTATGTATTGCTTCACTAAAGTTTCTTCTCTTGAAAACAGCGGGAGAGACAGACAGAAACAGATTTAAATATTAAATAAATATTTATTGAGCACCTACTATTTAGAAGACCCTGTTCTAAGAGCTAGCGGTATAGAAATAAATAAGATGCATAAAATATCTGTTTCCTAGGAGGTCATAGTCTAGTGTGAGGGCATATAATATATTCACATATACAGATGCATACATATATGTGTACATATATATACATATGTATATATAGACACACAAACATGTACATACACACAAATAGCTAAACTATCACATAATGATATATGTCTTGTAGAGTATTTAATTGAAGTGATATGTGACTGGGGGACAATTTAGATGGTAATGGAAAAAAAAGGCCTCACTGAGAAATCCCTTTTAATCTGAGATCTGAATAAGAAATCAATCTTGCAAAGATCAGCATTTCTGGCAGCATTTCTTGTGCATCTTGGACAAGCATTCCAAGCAGAGGCAAAATTTCTATAAAGAAAATGACCTTGATAACTTAGAGGAGTTGAAAGAGGACCAGAGAGACAGAAGTGGGTGTGTGAAGAGTGATGAGAGATGCCACCGATGTAGGCAGCAGCCATAAAATGCAGGACTTGGAAAAGTAGGACAATGAGGGTTTGGCTTTTATACTAAGGATGATGAAATGCCTTTGTATAAGTTTAAATGGGGAAACGACATGAAGAGATATGCATTTAAAACGTTTATATATTGAAGCTATGTGAGAAAGAGATTGAAGGTGTGGGAGTGTGGAACAAGGGACCCTAGTCTAAGCCAGAGAGGATGATGGAGAGAAGTGCCCACTTTGGGAATGTGATTTGGAAGCAACGTTGATGGAACTTCGTGATGAATTGGAGAGAAGGGTAGAATAGAATCAAGGAAAAATTTTAGAATCCGAAACAAGTATATATGTTGTAACAATATGTGTGAAAACTATACTGTAAAAAGCTACAAAGCAGGTTTTATGTAAAAATCTATGTCTTCTATTTAGGAATGCCATTGTTTCTGAAAACTAATGCCAACATTTCCTCCCATGGGCCATTGCATATTGCTTGAAATCTGTAACAAATGAGCCAATTAACACACATATACTTGGGTAGAAGAGCTCTGTACATTTTGGTAAAGCTACAGCCTGGCCTTATTTCCACATAAACAAATATAGAAGGACCGAGTGCCACAGATTCTATCCTTCTCTTTACCTTATTTTATACTGCAACTGAGAGAAAATATTATATGTAAATAAGTTGAGAAAATATTTTTTTAATGATGAAATTGTTTAGTGATAGAAGGCAGGAATGACGGTTTTTTCCTATGTACATTTCATTCTGTGATTCATCTAGCACATAGAAATATTTATTTCAGAATGGCATCTCTCAACAGAATTTTTACTCTAAAAGCAGAAACCTTAGTGTACCTACTTTATGCTCATCTTAAAACAGAGACATATAATTAAGCCTTAACTCTGTGTTGAGTGTGCCCACACACATACACCTTTTAAAATGTTTTGTAATGAAAATAGTGCTCCTGTCTCTACTATTTTATGCCATTCCATTTCTCTCTGCAGAGTTCAACAGCATATTCATCCAGTCAGAGGTACACCTTTCCTACAGGCATCAGAGCTCTCCCTGCTTATTCATGTCCAGAAATGATAGCGTTTTATCTCAGCGATTAAAGAAGATACTGTTTTAAGAATCATCCAACTAGTTACTGCCTGGAAACTCTCAACCAGAGATGAGAGCAGCAACCATAGGGCTCTTCCATTAGCACACTGTTTGTTGCTCAGTATGGATGCCTTTTCCATCCTTTTTTCCCTCCACTGTATATTTTCCATCTATGCTTCTAAGAAAAATGCTCCAAAGGAAAAATGCTCATTACGAGTACACAGAATTAACTTACCAACTGGTAGGTCTGTTTCCATGTGAAAGAACAGATTTTAGTTGAATCCCTTTTTAATGTTTGCTAGGCTTTACATCTGTCCATAATCCAGGCTTCTTTTTTTCCTTCCCCAGCCACCCATACGAGCTAGAAGATGTACTCTCCTAGTTCTCAGTGTGACCTGTAAAGATCACCTTGCCTAAAAAAATCATGTAGCCTCTCAATACTGCTAGATGTTTCGTTGCTGGATAATTTAATAGTAAATGCACGTTGCAGGGGCTGGCAATCTTCCGGCCTAGCTACACATTTACTATGAAGCACAAAAGGACATTTTTCATTGTATTGTGATGAAGTTCTCAGATCATTGATAATCATGACATGAATACATGAGAGATATATCTCTCTAAGATTAGGGATGTATTATTATATAATATTTGCTTAGTTCTATGGCAAGAAAATTTTAAAAGCAAATTTAAGGTATTACTCTATGATGTTCCTAATCTGTTGCTTAATGATTGCTGCATTCACTGACATATATATTATTTTGCTAAATTTAGGGTCAAGTACTGACAACTCTAAAGGAAATGAATTTATATTTTGCACATCTGTTACATATTTGAAAAATATGATAGATGGATTGGAAATGTCTGTTAAAGTGAAAGAAAAGATACCATCCATGACTCAATTTTTCCTCTCCCATAGTAAGCAAGTTAACTGAAATGGAGAATCACTACCCAGGATGGAAGAGGGAACCTGTGTTTACCTACAGTCTCTGAAAACGATATGTGTCTACATGAGCAACAAAGCTTGGAAGTTTGGCTTGATCCAGCAGTCTATAATATCTATGTGTACGATTTTCTGTCTTTGAGTGTTTTTTGACATTTATTATTAACAATAAAAGCTGAGTGAAATGAAAGTAGCAATCTTATTGATTCTTAGGAGCTAGAAAGGCACATTTAATAGCTTAATACCTTTTAGTAGATCAAAGCACATAGAGATCTCTAGCAGTAATATTCTCTATTAAAATTCTAAAACTCCAGAACACTCTTTTTAAAATAATGTATCCTACCAACTAACAATAAAATATGACGTATCCTATTCTCTATATATGTTACTTCTGAAGTAAATTATCCTGGAAACATAAAAAGCAGTATCATATTTCCATCACTGTTTAATAGACACATGAACAAATAAAACAAACCGTAACAGTCAAGTGATACTTTAGAGAGACTAAGATTATCAGAAATCGTGATAAGCTTATTAGCAGGACAGAAATATAAGCAAATCTTGATTCTAACTTACTATATAGTATCATAATACTAATTATAGAGATTTTACTTATCTTACATGGTTGTAAAGGTCAAATTTGCTAGAAAAGCAAAATACATACATGTAAAGAAAACGAAATCTGTGGAAAGGTGCATAGTGGGCAATTTCATTCTAAATGATAGCAAGAGTTAAGATAATAAAGGAGTGATGAATTGTTATAAAACTTATTCATACAAGGAGAAAATAATGAAGTAAGGGAATAAGTTAGCACAGTGGTAAAATAATTTTAACACTCACATAGGGTTACTACGGTAAAAGAAAAAATAAATTTGAAAAGGAAAGGGGAATATTACAAAAAAACTTTATGGAATAGTGCATCTCAACTCTGCTATAACTGTGAGACAACATGGGTTCCCCTCCAAAGCTCTAAACATTATCCTTGCTACCCTTGTCTACAATCTGGACCTGCCATTGATAGTATAGCTATTGGCAGAAGGAGAAATTAGTTACTATTTTTTCTGCTGGTATTACTGTATTTCTTCCCAGATCCTGAGGGAGGCTTTGAGAATGGAGGTGATATTAAAGAGTTGCAGCATATCTGTCCATTTCCCATTTGTATTTTGAGCAGTGGTTATTAATTTCTCTAATGAGTTTAAAGGGAGGTAAAAGAGACACTGGGAAGGTTAAGAGGGAAGAAGTTTAGGGTTTGGGGAATGTGGTAATTTGCGTTTCTCACTTTCCGTAGATGTTCTTTCTCAAAGCTTTCCAGGTCCTGTACATTTCTGTCACTTTTATGAGTGTATTTTTAATCAATTGATGATAAATAGAAGAGTATGCATTGCTTCCAATCACAAAACAGAATTAGCATAATACCATTGGTCATTCCCTAGATCCATACCTTGCATGATAAAATGGTATCATCTGTTATGTTCTCTATAGTGAATGGATGCACATTCGGGTAGTTTCTGCTTGAAGACAAGATATTCAACCTATATTTTCTGAACTTAATGTTGCATTAGAGAACAAGGGTGACTATAACTTATGTCTTGCTTTGTACATGGTCAATGTGTTAACATTGTTGAGATTTTAAGACATTTTCTATCTCATAGAAAAAAATTAGAGTTTTCTCATTTTTCAATAGCGTTAACCTAATTTATGTTCCGGTAGCTTTCAGGGAAGATTATGAGCAATAACTGTATGCAACTCATGGGCAAGTTTCTTACCAGACCCTTGGAGTTTGATTGTCCTTGGTATAATAAGACTACTAGAAATATAAGAGTAAGAATAGTCTAATTTATTATATATCTGTATAACTGGCACTTTGCTGAGTAATTCCATTTACAAAGTATGTCATATTATAAATGAATTTATTAATTTGTAATAATATTTATCATAATATTTATATTTAAATATTTATTATGATTATTTATATTTATAATATTTATAAATAATAGTTATATGTTAGTATTTTTAAACATTCCATACAGTTGGAACTACACAAAGTGTGAACATCTGCCACATTGTATGACCATCTTACTATAGCTCCCTATAACTCTTCTATTTTGTGTCACAATTATCTAAATGCTTAGCTTATATTCCACATTAAACTATAATCTTCTTGTTTGTTATTTATCTTTGCTCCTTTGTACCTGGTAGATAAGTACTATATATCTATTGGGTGAGTGAATTAGTTTTTATCTTGATCCTAGTTCTTCACATGTTAAGAATAGCAATGGGTCAAGATATTCAAAGCCATTAAAACTATGGATATAATCATCCATTGTAAATAAATAAATAGTATGACCACAATAATCACAAGAGATATACTTCAACATTTTTATAAAGAAGAAAATAGAAACTACTGTGCTCAGAGGAATTAATTAGTATAATTATGGCTACCAATTTAACAGATAAATTTTTCCATTGCCAAGCTTGTTCATAAAATGTGCTACTTTCTTTCTTAATGGAACCTTCACAGTGCAAATGTTTCTTAAGCAAGATGTTTAATCTTACAGGTATTAGTATGGTGACTCTGGGTAGGCCTTTCATTGAGGATAAATTTTAGACTGGCAGTTAAATTACTACATGTGATCCTAATGCTGAAAATTTTAAAGGTGTAATTAGGAGGGAGTGGGGGAATCACCAGTGTTTCTAACACAAAATGTCAGTGGTTTTAACAATTAAATGTGGTAGCATTTAAATAATGCTTAATAATGCTTAATAGTGCACTTAAATAATGCACTGACACCCAAACAATAAAATCTAACTATTATGACGGCATCCAGATAGTAGATGATTTCACAGGAAAGTGCTCAGAACTCCATCAAGTTAAGAATCAATAGAATCTAAGCAATTGTGGTAGAGTCAAAGACACGGGTCTCAGCTCGTGAAAAATCCTCTGTACTAGAGCTATATTAAATTATCACCACTAACGTAAAATCAACCTTGGTGTAAAAGATAAAAGGGTAAAGTTCTCACAAATGATCACTTATCACTCCATTCCAAAAATGCATACAGCATTCATTATAGATCGAAATGCCACTCAAATTTCATCATTTAGTAAGGTTTTGAAACAGCCAAACCATTAAAAGAAGAGAGTAGCTTTTTATATTTATACAACTAGTGACTAATGAAACATTATACCCAGCGTGCAAAGGGGAAAAAACCTTTATTTTGCCATGAACCCAATTGGCGCCCCTTTTAAACACAGCATAATATGGTTTCACTGTTTCATCGAGCCTCTCATTACTTGTGTCAATAATCCTAGGTAAACCACTGTTGAACTTCACAGCATTTATCTAGCAGCATGAATAGCATTAATCTATGGGATGCTTTTGATGAATTGTAGTTCAAAAAGCAAAGCCAAAAATGACTTCTCACAAAGTGCTTAGGGAAGTATTTATTAGAAATACATCAACTGCCAACTACCTAAAGGTAGCTTGGCTATTTAGGAAATCATGCTGTTGGCTAGCTTGCAAGCACTGAAAAAATATACGAATTTTCCTGATGAGCTACTTTAAAAAAATGATATACTTTTCATTTAGGTATATTATTTTTTCTGTCACTTCTCTTCTAATTCTCAATATTTTATGTCATATTGCTTTTGACACAATGTGACATGCTATACAACATATCCCCAGGTGCTCAGAAACTGTTAGGTGAGAGAAGCACTTGGAAAATTAAGGTGAATCAGATAGACTACACTTTCCTTACATGACTGCATGATCTAAACATCCAGGGAGCATCAACTGAAATCTACTCTTGGATCCTGCTCTAAGGATCTCACTTACCTTCCTGACACACCCAGTGGTTGTAACATTCTCTCTGGCAGAAAGGCCAGCAGGGTCTGTCTACAGGGATTACCACATTTAAATACAATTTATCAGTCTAATTGGATTAGGCTAATTTTTCCAAAGTTGAATTTTGTACAATTCATGAAGTGCTAGAAATTCAACTGTTAGTTCTACTATTTTCTAGATGTTTTACATGAATAGCCTATTCATTGTGAGCCTTTCGTTGCTTACCATAGCAAAGCAGTATTAAGTACTGAGAGATTTTATACAATAATGCAACTTGAAAATAGGAAAACTGTATATTGACTGAACATATTAATTTTTTCCAACTTTGGCAAAATGAACAAAATGAATACCTGGGAAAAATAACACTTGTTAGATTAATTTCTCTCTAAAATTAATCTCTTTACAAAGAAATATACTAGACCCCCAAATTTCTTTTTGGAAAGGTATGGAACAAACACATATGTCTTTTAGTATTCCATAAATGCATTCAAGGGAAAGATATCAAATAAACATATTTTGTCCATAGTTTCTAAGATCCACGATTTATGACAGCACTGTGTTATGTATAACACTCATTTAGTATACTGTAATATTATGTTGAATATAATACTAGTCCCAGAAAAGTTTTCTTGGTGAAATATGATGAAAATCTTACATTGGCTAATGGCTCTTCCTAGTGGAGATTCGCAATGCACCCTGACATATACAATAAAGTCTGGGAAGTACTGTAGTAAAGAAACCTGACTAATTTTGTTTATTGCAATATTCATCAATCTCGTAAAAATTCATCTCCATCTAACAATATCTAAAAGAAGCTACCTTATGAAAAACCCATTGTGGCATTTGAAAGTTGGAAAAAACAGAAATTTTATTCACTCATGGCGACTGGTATTTCTTTCTGTGATTTTGTTATATTTACTCAAATTGTGAGGTAAATAGAGTCAAGAAAAAGTCTGTAGGAACTTTAAATTATTGTTCAGTGAAATTGATGCAGTTATTGCTAATATTGTACACTCCCATTTTTGCTGCATTTCAATGACACTGTCATTCTTTGTGAAACCAAATTACAGAAGTTATAAAGTATATGTTTATGATAATACAATAAAAATTAGCTTAAAGGAAATGTAATTTTCATGATTCTGGATTATAAGTGAACACATTTATTTATAGAATTTAAAGACAATCAGCCGGGTGTGATGGCTCACACCTGTAATTCCAGCATTTTGGGAAGCCGAGGCAGGCTGATAACTTGAAGCCAGGAGTTCGAGGTAAGCCTGGTGAACATGGCGAAAGCCCATCTCTACTAAAAATATAGTGGTGCATGCCTGTAATCCCAGCTACTCAGGAGGTGAAGCACGAGAATTGCTTGAACCCGGGAGGTGGAGACTGCAATGAGCTGAGATCATGCCACTGCACTCCAGCCTGGGCAACAGAGCAAGACTCTGTCTCCAAAAAAAATAAAAAATAAAATAAAGACAATCATTAATATAGTTTACGAGCCAACATGTAAGAAGTATATTTATAATTGAGAAAGCTTTTTACAAAAAAAAATTTTATGTATGTTACAATTTTATCAGTCTGACTGGGAATATATTAATATTAAATATAATATCTCATAATTAAATATCTCATAAGATGTCCTGAAGTAAAAAGAAACCATATAATTTTGTTCACTGCACTTAAAATTCTGATATATTTAAATAGTTTTTCAAGTTATGCATCCTTTCACATATAATGTTTTCCAAAATTTACTCACCATGCACAATGAGAACATATTCCGCACTGCTTTGGCCAATGGTGTTTGTGGCTTCACATCGATATGTACCATTATCCGTTTTGTTCAGGAAAAGAATGTTTAGCTCCCTACCACTCACAACCATTCGGTCAGGATCTGGTAATTCTCCGCCATCCTTTGTCCACAAAACAGGTTCTGGCCTATTGGATTGAAACATGCATGTAGATAGCAAAAATAAGAAATGTTAAATATGTGTAAATTTAGTAAATCAATTTTTTAATATTTAACATGTATTTTGTACACAACCATATGCTAACTTCTATAAGATACCAAAAGGACCATCACACACTCACTCAAAAGAGTCGGAGGTATAGCAAATATAATCTGCTTCTATTCTATTTAACTAAGCAGATATGTATTCAGAGACTAATTTGTTGAGTCCCAGTAGCAGTCATTTCTGGTCCCCTGCTCAAGTCGTGTGGCCCAGATTCTGCTGCTAATGGCTCACACCCCACATTGGAAGACTACCCTTAGGCTATTGGGGCAAATCTTCCTCAGATGTATTTGGATATAAGTAAATATAAATATTTATATTTATATATAAATATATAATTTTTATAAATATGTATATAAAATATGAGTATAAATATATATAATAATAATGAATACTAAATAATACTTATTATAATAAATAATATTAAATATATAAGTATTCATATTCATACATACAAATACATATAAAATAAGAATATAAAACATAAAATAAATATAAAAAAGATAAAAATCTTTGCACTTAGAGCCACCCTTGTGGCACAGCTTTGCTTGAAACCACCTGAATCTTTTCCATTTCACCTCTGCTGCTTTTCTCATTCTTTTAGAGGTTTTTACTGTGAGTTTTCTTTTAACAAAATTCCTGCAAAGGAGCCCTATCTCAAAATATGCTTTTAGAAAAGAAGGATAAATGAACCATAGATTCCCCTCTTCAAAAATTTCAGTCTTCTGTAATAATTAATGATAGAAATAGTTGTTAATAATATCTATTACCATCTGCTAGTTGTTATCCTAGGTAATTTACATTTATTTTCTGTAATTCTCAAAAGAACACTTTGATGAATATCACTTTTTAAAATGTGCTGCATATAAGAATATAGATGAGAGAAGTATTCAAACCCTGGTCTTCCTCTATAGTTGATGCTTCATCTAGTACCTCCTGCTTTCTAACATGATGAATATTTTTCTAGGCTTAGTATGGAAAGTTTTCTAATTTCAGCATAATTTTATCACATGGAATCATTTTCTCAAAAGCTTTGTTAAATTTGATAGAAATATTGAATTTATTTTATGTTATTGTGAACACAATTAGAACAGAGGCACTGAGTAAGTGATGTCTATGGGTATGGCATCCTTTCTAAGAGGAAGGATATATACCATTCTAACAAAATTTTGTAGAAGGGATAAAAGTTGTGAAAAATAATAACAAATATTGTAAACAATATCAAAACAAGAAGATTGGCAGTGTTAATGGAACTGATCAAGTGTTTAAGTACTGACAACACTTGGAGAGTGTGATCTTGTAATATAAGAAATATGTATTTTGTCTTCTCCCCCAGCTCCTAACATAGTGCTCCTGAAGCCCCAATAGATAGTGGTGATAGCAGAAATTTTTGTTCTACTTAGCTTCTTACCCTTGCAAGAGTTTCCTGGCAAGAAACTCCTAAGACGTTTATACAGTCATATGCTACTTAACTATGAGGATATAGCCTGAGAAATGTGTTATTAAGTGATTTTGTCATTATACAAACACCATAGACTACATTTACACAAACCTAGATGGCACAGCCTACTACACACCTAGGTAATATGCTATAGCCTATTGATTATGCTATAAACTTGTACATCATGTTACTGCTCTGAATACTGGAACAAATTGTAACACAATGGTAAGTATTTGAGTGTATAGACATGGAAAATGTATAGTAAAAATACAGTATTATAATAGTTTGAGACCACTATCCTATATATGGTGCATCATTGATCAAAGTGTTGTTATATGGTGCATGACTGTAATTTCCTGAGTGATAGTAGACTCTGACACAGAGCTTCTAAGTCCCTTGGGCATGATAGGAGAATCTTTTGCTCTGAGATGCTCCTATGAGATGTTCTAATCAGAAGTTTCTGGTGGGCTCCTGGGCAGCTTACTGGGTAAATACAGGTTGGAACTTTCAGTCCCACTTTCCTTTCAACCTCCAGGGAGCTGAGGTGACTGAAGGTTAGATGATCATCAATGGTCACTGATATAACCAATTATGCCTACCTAATGAAGCCCCCATAAAACCTAAAAGGGCAGGGTTTGGAGAGCTTCTGTATTGCAGAGCATGCAGAAGGTCCAAGATGGAAGCATGCCAGGAGAGGCCATGGAAGCTCCTCTCCTCTTCCTGCATACCTTGCCCTATCCATCTCCTCATCTCGCTGTTCATCAGTTGCCTTTGTGAGACAGAGAGAGAGAGAGAGAGAGAGATAGATAGATAAAGATATACAGCTATATAGCTATATAGATATAGATATACAGATATAAAGATATAGATATAGCTATATAGATATATAGATATAGATATATAGATATATAGATATAGATATAGATTTTTTTAATTTAAGTTCCACGAAACATGTGTAGAACATGCAGGCTTGTTACGTAGGTATACTTGTACCATGGTGTTTTCCTGCATCCATCAACCCATCATCTAGGTTCCCTCCCCTCACCCCCAACCCTGCAACAGGCTCCAGTTTGTGTTGTTCCCCTTCCTGTGTCCATGTGTTCTCATTGTTCAACTCCCACTTATGAGTGAGAACATGAAGTGTTTGGTTTTCTGTTCTTGTATTAGTTTGCTGAGGATGATGGCTTCCAGCTTTATTCATATCCCTGCAAAGGACATGATCTCACTCCTTTTTATGGCTGCATAGTATTCCATGGTGTATATATGCCACATTTTCCTCATCCAGTCTATCATTGATGGGCATTTGTGCTGGTTCCAAGTCTTTGCTATTGTAAACAGTGCTGCAATAAACGTATGTGTGCATGTGTCTTTACATTAGAATGATTTATATTCCTTTGGGTATATACCCAATAATGGGATTGCTGGGTCGAATGGTATTTCTGGTTATAGATCCTTGAGGAATTTGTGTCTTTATATTAGAACGATTTATATTCCTTTATGTATATATCCAGTAATGGGATTGCTGGGTTAAATGGTGTTTCTGGTTCTAGATCCTTGAGAAATCACCACAGTGCCTGCCACAATGGTTGAACTAATTTACATTCCCACCAACAGTATAAAAGCGTTCCTATTTCTCCACAGCCTTGCCAGCATCTATTGCTTCTTGACTTTTTAATAATCGCCATTCTGACTGGTGTGAGATGGTACCTCATTGTGGTTTTGATTTTCATTTCTCTAATGATCAGTGATGTTGAACTTTTTTTTGTATGTTTGTTGGCTGCATAAATGTCTCCTTTTGAGAAGTGCCTGTTCATATCCTTTGCCCACTTTCAGATGGGGTTGTTGTTTTTTATCTTGTAAATTGGTTTAAGCTCCTTGTAGATTCTAAATATTAGACCTTTGTCAGATGGGTAGATTGCAAAAATTTTCTCCCATTCTGTAGGTTTCCTGTTCACTCTGATGATAGTATTTTTTGCTGTGCAGAAAGAAGCTCTTTACTTTAATTAGATCCCATTTGTCAATTTTGGCTTTTGTTGCAATCGCTTTTGGCGTTTTCATCATGAACTCTTTGACCATGCCTATGTTATTGCCTAGGTTTTCTCCTAGGGTTTTGATAGTTTTGTGTCATATTCTTTATAATTAATGAGTGAAAATAAGCAAAGTGTTTCCCTGAGTTCTGTGAGCTATCCCACCAAATTAACAACACCCAAGAAGGAAGTCACGGAAATCATGGTTTGTAGGCAGTTGGTCAGAAGTACAGGTAACAGCCTAGTGCATGTGAGTGGCATCTGAAATGGGAGGCAATCTTGTGGGACTGAGACCTCAATCTGCAGTCTGACGTATACATGAATTGAATTACATGACACCCAGTTGGTGTCTCATGAAAAACTGATTGTTGGTGGGGGAAACTGATTGTTGGTAACACACATTTTGGTGGTCAGAGATGAAGTGTTGTAGTAAATGTGTAAGTAGAAAGTAGTAAACAGTTTGTTTTTTTCTGTCTTCAGGAAGATAAAAAACAAAAAGGGAGGATAATTTTATCAGATCTATATCTATGAAAATTCTGAAAGAGCATTATATGATAACAAGTGAAGAAACTAGGTATATAAAATATTGGAAAAATATAATATATTGGAAAAATATAATAATATGTATCGTTCAATTAGATAGACAAATCACTCCCCTAGTATCCTTAATAAAAGCCAAATTATTAATAGTTCTCAACATGCTTCATTTATCCTAAATCTTTTAACTGCTATTTGAATTTACCAATTCTTATTTTATAACAGGCTAGATTGTCTTGTGCTATGTACATCGTTAACATCTCTTGAAGCAGCAAAAAATGATAAAATAAAACTATGATTTGTAGCAATGTAGAAATCTTGCCCTTTCCACAAAGTCACATAAGACCCATATTAAAATAGAAGTTATACTGGTGATACTTTGGGGTTTAGAGAATTCATCTTTATAATACTACTCAAAGGAAGTAATTTAGTATCTTAGGAGGCAACCTTTTCTTGATGTTTGAACTTTTAAACATACAGAGAAAATTGTATGCATGTATTTATACACTTCCGTATACTCAAAATTACCCCCCAAAATCTAAACTGTCATGATTTTTTCCTAGTTCTGTTTATAAGCTTTTTTGTCTCATCTTAAAGCAAATGGCTCTGTAAATATGTAGTTAAATTCAGATATGTCTTTTTAAATTGTTTACATAGAAATGTAAAGATCTAGATAAAGTATTCAAGTTGCCAATCTGTATTTTAAAACAAAATTTTTCAAAAAAAAAAAAAAACTTCCTCAAAGGAAATAACAACAGCATCTACAAAATTGGTTAACAGGAGGATATAGTTGTGTAAGTCTTTGCTGACACTGATCTAAATCCTTCAAGAATTCTTGATCCTAGTCTCTGTGATAAATCTTCAAGGTGGCAAAATAGCATCATAAGATGCAAATTTAATGAAATAGAGGTTAGAGTTTATGCATAGATTAAAAATAGCCTACACATATTCCCAATTAGTATTTAAAATGTTCAAGCTTCTTAATATCACCATAAAAATATTAAGTGGTTTAGCAAGTCTTGATACAATTTGTGTTTCATCTTAATAAAGAGGGCCCCCTAGGCTTTCTCTAATTGGAACCCAGAAATGATTGAGTTTCTTGTTACAAATGAAGAACAATCTTCCCTGCTGTTCAGGCATCCAAAGAGATCATTTAAAAGTGGTTCCAGTCTACAGTTTCTATATGATAAGGCTGAAAAAAGAGTAGGAGCTAGACACCAGGAGTAACAGGACAGTGAAAATAGCATCAGATGTGAGACGATAACGTTACGCCACTTTACATGAGAACACTTAGTCCATCCAGAACGTTTCTCTTTAACCAGCCCAAATAATTAAAAAGTTGGAAAACTTATGTTTGAGATAACATTTTGATTTTGTTTCTATCAATTCTATAAAACTATAAAGATGTTTATTTTTCCTTATATCTAAAGATATTTTTTCAGAAGTTTCTTCCTAGAACAACAGAAAAGTTAAAAGTAAAAAGAGAGACAAAATATGTTTATACATTTATTCTCAAATATCCTGAGGCGTTCATTGATGAAGTTGTTTTCAATCTGAACAGATTTTTTTTAGAAAACCTATTAACTCGGTGTTTTGTTTTCTACATATCTAATAAGAGATTACCTGTATGTTGCACAATTCCTAATTTATAAATTACTGTTGAAAGGTATTGCCACAAGTCTCTCAGATGTTGATTTTTATTTAATATTTTGAACCAGATACAAACCTGATTACTAATTTTCAGTGAAATTCTTTAATTTGTATTTGGGGCATTTATTCTGTGCAGTTATACCATAGCGACAGTACTTCTAATCTTTTCTGTGCTTAGAAACTATGGGATTATTCACTCCCTAGGTACTGAGAATGGAAACTTTCTTTGCCTTAATCGTTCACATCCCCTCTTTTAGGTTCTTGCTTCCTAACAGGAATAAAAAACAAGAAGTTCAGTAATGGAGAAGTGAGTCCCATCATGTAGGTCTCCTAGGAAAAGAATCTTCCTGGTGTGGAAAGGGACAGAGTTAAACACTATGCAAAATTTGAAATTCTCCAGTCTCTCCTTTTTCCAAACAGTGATATCCCCCTTGGGATTCGTGCTGCCTTTTTTTCATAAAGATAGGATATGTTGGGGTCTAGCACTAAAATTAATCCTATGAAAATTAAACTTACTTTTCCTAGATGAAAAAAAAGTCACCTTTCCTATTTGAAAAAAATGTCACATTCAAGACAACATCTTGTTCTATCTTAAGAAAAATGAACAAAAATTTCAAATATTTATATCTTATACTTCCTTTAAGACAAAGCAGAATCATATAGTCAGTAACTTTATGCCTTATGCACCATGTCACCATAGGAAGATGTC
This sequence comes from Homo sapiens, assembly GCF_000001405.40. Lineage (NCBI taxonomy): Eukaryota > Metazoa > Chordata > Mammalia > Primates > Hominidae > Homo > Homo sapiens. Next base: position 85,955,030 of record NC_000003.12, on the reverse strand, counting down.
TACTGGCTTTATTTCAGTTTAGAAATTCCACAGATGGGCAGTAAATATTATTAAAGTTTTAAAACCAGGGAGTTTTTTAAAAACTTAATCCCTCTCTATTTCCTGTGATATTTTCACTGGAAAGTGAAATAAGGTGATAGGAGTTACAAAAACATCTTGATCCTTTTTCTGCTTTAAGCAAAGACTTTTTGATTAAGAAATTATAGTAAGAGTCTATGCATAATACACCCAATATTTATGTTATCATATTTTTAGAGAAAGGAAGGGATAAGTAAATGTAAATTAATTGACAAATGGATTTGAAAATTGTTCAAGTAAAAGATTTAAAGTTTATTGAGTTCAGGAAAAAAGAATCCTGAACAAACTTTAGCTTAGGCATTTCCCCTTTGGGTAGACTGAGATTACATCTCTAAACGAAGCCCAAACACTGCTAAATAATTGAGGAGGAAGAAAAAAGGAGAAGAGGAGAAATATTAGAAGCTGGGGTTGCTTGGTAGCTTTTTTAAAAAATTAAAATGTAAATACAAAGCAATCTAAAAGAGCAGTATTCTGAAAACTGTGAAGCTGATTAAAAATGTACTTTTTAATAACTTCCTGTCAGAAGTTAAGGATGTAGTTGAAAAACAGCAAGAAATACAAAAGGACTACTTGTGGGTCTATTTATTGCAGTGATCATTACAAATTTTAAAACTACACTAAGGGTTTTTTGTTATTGAAGATCAAGTAAATATTTCTAAACATAATTTATAAATAGCATTCCACATATATGTAAAGTCATATTAATTATTGAAAAATTATTGCTTTAGGTCATTGCAGTGTACCTCAACCCGTGTTTTCTCCTCAGATTTCATTTTTGTGCAATTTAGTTGTAATGAAATTAGATTTTCTTTTATTCTTGGTATTGATTTCATACTTTTATGGCAGCAATTCTTTAAATATCAAATAAATTGTAGAATAAGCAAGCTTAAATTTGAGTGTTTTACTTATTAAAATTTAGGCTCATTTTAAAATATAATAAATGAAACATCTATGTGTCTGATAGTCTTTATACATGTATGCATGAGAAAAAAACAAAACTTCAGAACTATTTATTGTAGAGTAGTCTTCAATGTATTTCCACAGGTTTAATTAACAGAAAATGTCCTATTCTACACTTATATCTTAAGACAGATAAGAGATCAATGAATTTTCTTTTTTGTTAGTTAAAAATGGCTGTATATTCTTTAATAGGTACTTGATAAATGCATGAAATTATCAAATAATTATCTATAAAAACATCTGTGCAAGTTTTTGAACCAGGGATTGTGAGGTGTATAAAAAACTAAAATAAATATCTGCTCTGTGGTATTATATTCAAGTAGTTTCTATAAGATATATGTCATCAACCATAATATTTGGTAGCATACAGTAAGTGGCATAAATGAGTTATGAAACATCAGAAAGATTCATCACCTATATTAGGGACATTCTAATAGGCTTTATGAAAAATAAAACTCTTGATTACGGTGTTTAATTATAGCAGAATTTTGACAAGTAGAAATAGAATACACCAACTCAATAGGAGTCTAAGCCCTGGGTAGAATGCTTGCCCTCAAGAGGCCATAATGTTGAAAAGATTAATTTAAATATTGGGAATGTCAGGAAAGAAGTGAGAATAGGGTTACCAAGTAAAATTGCTATTGGCAAAAAATTACAAATTAAGAAAAGATAAGGTTAAAAGCACTTAATATGATAATTGAGTTGGGAGTAATAAAAGCAAAAGGCAAACTATAAGTTGTGTATGAAGAATCAAGAACAAGTATGCTTATAAGTAGCTTAGTCCAAGAGAAAGTCTATAGGACGAAAAGCAGAACATGAAAAAGTATTATTTTAGTTTAACACCAGAAAACTGATGATTACACCAATATAGAAGAGAGAATGAAATGTGGGAAGGAAAGTTTTGGTCATAAACAGGAGCAACATGAACAAAAGCAAAGAAATTGAAAAGTTTGGGGTACAGGTGTGGGGGAAACATCTGTACATTTAAAGTAAGAAAAAAAAAATAAAGTAAGAAACAGCCAGCCTGGAGTGCCAGCTGAAGAATCTAGACTTTCTTTAAAAATGAAATTATCTTATTTTGATTTTTGAGAAGTGAGTATTCCTGATCAGTTTCCTTTAAGAAAATTAATGTGAAACATCTGGGGAAAATCCAATAAAGAGGCCATATATACAGTTCTTAAGACAGATAACAAGTTCCTACATAAGGGAGAGAAATAATAAAGGAAAGCACATAATAAACAATAAAAGAGCCCTGAAAAAGTAAATACAACTTTTCTGAAGCTAGGCAGTGTATGGTGTTAAGGAAGAGATAAAAGAAACTCTCTTTACAGCCTCTAGTCTGTACAACAGGTGCAACTGTAGTGCCAAAAAGAAAAACAACAATTTAAAGACTAACCAACAAAGCAATTAAACAAAAGAGAAAAGAGATTGAAATAAAGCCGAGAGGGAAAAACTGATGATTTCCATTTTGAACATGCTGAATTCAAGTGTTACAAGAAAACCAAGAAATACATCTTGATCCAGCAATTAATTAAATAAATAATTAGAAATCAGGGAAGAGGGCAGAACTGGAATTTTTACAGAGACAGGTGCCAACCATGTTTCCAAGCTAAAGAAAGAAAACAAAAGAGCACATCATTGAACATCTTAGAATACACTCACTTAGAAAATAAGAAAAGGCAATACAGTCTAAGAATTCTAAGAAAAAAAATCAAGAGAATAGTGTCATTGGAGCAAGAAAAAAATTATTTCAAAATTTATTGTCCTGAATGTTTGTCTTTATAATCCCACTAATACCTTGACTTCTCAGTTCTCTGATTTTCTCCTGTCCAATAATTATTTTGTTAGCTCCACCTCCGCCATGATGACACACTTCACATTGTCATCATTGTTACTTCCATAAAAGTCTCATTTTTTTTTCTAATTACAAACTTCTATTTGTTCAGTTCGCTACTTTCTTATATATCATCAAAACCTCCAGTCTTAACTGAGGGGCCCACTATTTTCCTTTATTCTTTAATGGCCCTCTCCCGTTCACTTCCCTCCTTAGCCAGTCTTAGGATCCAGTCAATCAGATTTGTTTTGTTTTGTTTTTTCCCTTTCTCCATCCATTATTATCTAGTTAATTCCCAGCTCTAATGAACCCAACTTTTCCATCTTCTCTGTGCCTTTAGCACAACATCAAAGCAAGCTAAAGAAAAAGGAGAAGGTAAATGATGTTTGTTTTACTAAATACTGTCCTTGAAGTCATCATGCAAGTGTGCACATGAAGAGCAAGGACAAAGGCAATTTTAAAGCCAAAGTAAATTTCATTACTGTATCTTGGAGGTTTTTTGTTGTTGTTTTCCAATCTGTTGAAATATGCACAATGTATTATCATTAATGTCATTAAGAATGTGTGATTAGACATACACATTTCTCCGTCCCAGAGCTGTTTAACATAATATTGAAAATAGACATGTTTGAAAAACTTTGCATCTTAATATAGTTAGTACCCTCATTTGTTAAATTGGATTTGTGTTTTAACATTTCAGATACTTGGTACTGAAACAGAAGCATAAATGTACAGAGAAAATGGAAGGAGAGGATTGAATAAATTACCCAGATGAAGTAAACTCTTAAACAACTTATCTTTTAAATTATAGATTTCCCACTGTGTTTTTTCACCTATTGCAGTTACTTGTATTGATTAATTTAATGTGTCTTTGTGCATTTGTGTGTGAGAAAGAACAAGGTGGTTCCTTAGCTTTTCTTCTCATTGGCCTCTACTCTTTTGTTTTAAATATTTCTGGATATGTTCTTCAGTTTCTTATTCCATCCTCACAATTATCATGAGTTAGAGTTTGCTCAGTATTGAGATGGCATTGCCCATATCTGCACAATTGATTTTATCAAAAGCAATAGACTTTTTTTCTTCTATTTATAGTTTCAGAATCCCAAAGACTCCTGTTGCCAGTCTCAACAACAAAAGTTTCTACTCAAACATCACTATCAGTACTTCTGTCTGACAGGGTCAAAGACATTTTCATGCAGTAATAAATGAAGTTTGAAGTGGAAAACTCAAGCCTACTTACTCCCTTAAACTGTAAATTGAAACGCTGATTCTAAGTTTATCTACTTATACAAGTTTTTAAAATCAATTATGACATTAGTATAGTGTCAAGTAGGAGGAGTCTCATTACATTATCGGTTAGCTTTACAGGGGAAAATAACATGCATATTAATTTCACCAGTAGATTTTAAACTTTGATAGCAAATAAAAAATGGACTTCTATTCTGATTAATATCAGCATGTGCTACTTGATTCTGATTTTTTAAGGCACTTCTTGCCTCCAAGCTTAGAAGCTTGTGGTTGAAACAGGAAATAACCTATGCAAGAAAGAGGTAAGTGCTCTTTAGAAGACTTGAAAATAATGGCATTTTTAGAGTGCCTATTAAATCCTGAACTACTTTTTACTGATAAGGTAGTGTTCATTGATGATTATTTTAACAGTTTCAAAAAACAAAGCAGTCACATTGCACTAGAAACTGTATAATTCCAGCCAATTTATGGCACAACAAATAAAAGATTATCCTTAGAAAAGATAAGATTGCTATGATCATGAAGGAGTTACAGATTTTTGCATTGAAAGAAAAATATTGAAGATTGTGACAAATGCCTAAGCTAATCTCTTAAGGACTTTCTGCTGAAGCAAAACAATTACCCATGCCTAATCTATACTTAAATTTCTTTTCTTTGGTAAACACAGAATATTAATTCCCAGTTAAAAGATCAAAATATCTTGAGTAAGCATTCATTCTCTCATCTACTGTGTATATGTACATTAAGCATAAAATCTTTATAATATATTTAACAATAACCATTCTTCAGAAAAGTTTTCAACTTATTTGAAAATTATTGACTATTAAAATTTTATTTTAGAACTCTTTGCAATATTTTCGTGTTTTCATAATGAAAAAATTATGAGTGTGCATTTCTCAGAATCTTCCATTTTATCAACCTGCGTACATCATAAGAACAATGTGACACTATATAAAATGTTTCTATAAGCATCCTAATCAATCAGAAGCCTATAAACCATTCAATTCAAGGACACTTTGGAATGATGAGGTCCTATTTTTTATACAAGAGTAATTTTACAACCCATTACTTCCTTTAATATAAAATAGTGCTCATTAACCTTATAAGATCTAGTATTGATATTAAACACTGTGTTATCATTATACTACTGCTTCTGCTTCATGATTTGTTTCATTTCTAATATTAAAACCAGTGATCTTCAGAAAATAATAGTAAAGTCCATAGCATTTATCTGATAGCTGAAAAATTAAATGCTCTGAATAAGTAAAGCTTGAAGATAATTGAAACTTAAAACTGAAAGTTTTGAAGGTATTTTTTAAATCATTTAGATGTAATCATTCTCAAAGGATCAAACTTCTCTGTTATTAAACAGAGGAGTTTTGGTGACAACCTTGTTTTCTAGAGCTAAGATATCTTTAGTTTGAACACACATTTTTATATAGTGTTGTTTCACAGGAACTAAGACTTAACATATTTTTTCCCCTAAATTTCTGCAATACCCAGCTTTCTCATAGCTGATATGCTTATTGTAACAATTTTCAAACCCTTTAAGGTGTGACATACAATAAAAAATATATTTGACAAGCATACATACTATGTAAACACATATATACAAGAAATAATAGCTTGCTTTCTCTTATATTCTGTGACATTTTCTTTACTCTTTCTTCTTTTCTACATTTTCCTTTTCTATTATTTTCTTTTTAAAAAAAAGTCATATAAATTGATTTTGTAACTCATTAATAAGCCACAATTTGCAATTTGAAAAACACTGCACTAGTGACTCACAGTGAGAGTGCTGTATCCTAGGAGTTTTCTTGTCCCTGAGCTTCATTGCTGTTATATTTTCAATGTTGTTTCTGCATGGTTGCATCACTATCTTCATTCTTGCAATTTTGAGTGGTGGTGCTTAAGTCCACCATGCCTCACATTTCCATGACATCTCCTGGCCCCACGTTATCATAGGTGCTGCTCTATTATCCGTCTTTATAAAGTCTTATCTTTTACTTTCCTTTCTCTTTTCCTTGAAGCACTTGTGGTACTCTGGATTTGCAAGACTTGGGCTTTAGAGCCCTCCTCAATCACTGAGAAAGTCTGCCTATTCACATTGGAGGTTTTCGTAAATGTTCATATTTTCTATACTTTTAAACACTGGCATTGTTTGCTGTTTATTTTATTTTATTTTATTTTATTATTTTATTTAGCTTTGAAATTTAGAAGCTTCTATACGTTTGAGTTTTGTATACCTGGATTGAGGTTACAAACATATTGTAAAATCATGTGTAAAAAAGATGTGTAATGCAAGAAAATTTCTTTTAGGATGTATTTTTTTGAGTAAGTGGCTAAGGAATAAGAATTTTTCAAGTTTCATTATTAATTAAAATAATAGCACATCTCTAAAGTGATTCTGAATTAAATCTATTTTTCACATTTTATTTCCTTTGTATATTTATGCAGAAATGATAGTCAAGATATTTAACAGCTGGTATAATAGGTGGACAATAATCCATTTATCAGTAAGTTGTACTGGTGACTACTAGAGGGATATTAGTTCCAAATTTATGATACATGTTACGAAAAAAATGCAAAAAAAAGTGCAAATCTTATTGAATAGCCTTAGAGCAATAGACTAACTTTTAAAAATACATAAATAATCATAGTATTTCAATTTTTAAAATGTTGAGTGATTATTCATTTTTCTGCAAACTTTCTACAATTACTATGTTGTTGAATTTGCTATATAAACACATATGCAATGTTTCCAAACTTTAAAGAGTAAAATGCTTAAATGTAATCTCAAAAATTAATGTATTTTTAAAAATACAAATTTTAAATCTATAAGCAAAAGAGTGCATGTCTGAAAAATCTACTAAACGTATATGACAGTACCATTCCAAAATGGTGTCTTCAATGTATTGAGACATGTTTGGTTTAGGGTTTTCCAGTGAATATTTACATAATCCCTCAAAATAATTGGCTTTTTGTTGCAAGAAAACTGCTTACCTGGAAATGTTCAAAAAGTACATTTCCTCTATGGATCTATAATCGTGATTCTGCAAGCTCTTATGGGACTTTCACAAGACATTGGAACATTTAATTGAAAATGATTGAGTGCCCAACACACCGCAGATGCCCATGCCCAGCCTAAATAACAGCAGTGGAGATTACCGAGAGTCAGCTTCTTGTTTCAAAAACAAAACCAAATATATTCGGTCTCATTTCCAAGATAATCACTTGTGTGTTTCCAGCGAGTCAATGTGTGATTAAATTTTGAAACCATAAAATAGAAGCAAAAGACCAACCATATGGACCTCAGAAAAGAAACTCATTATGGAAAGGACTGCACACATTTTTTTTTTCAATTTTGAAAATTTAGAATGAATTTTCCAATATTATATCTTTGAAGACATTTTGGAAGAAACTGACTATATTGCTTTTAATTTTTAATTAGTTAATTGAGACAATTTTGCATTTCTCTATATATCAGAACACAAAGTACAACACACACACAGACACACACACACATACACATCCCAATCTAAATGCTCTGTATCCTTTATTATCGAAGTACTGCTGGTATAAGAATATCTATATGATAAGGAGACAATCATTATGTTTATCCCACTAGTTATTTTAGTAACATTTTATACATAGCATTTAATAAGAAAGACATACTCTTGATTTGCATTTTTCTGATGGCCAGTGATGATGAGCATTTTTTCATGTGTCTTTTGGCTGCATAAATGTCTTCTTTTGAGAAGTGTCTGTTCATATCCTTCGTCCACTTGTTGATGGGGTTGTTTGTTTTTTCTTGTAAATTTGTTTGAGTTCATTGTAGATTCTGGATATTAGCCATTTGCCAGATGAGTAGATTGCAAAAATTTTCTCCCATTCTTTAGGTAGCCTGTTCACTCTGATGGTAGTTTCTTTTGCTGTGCAGAAGCTCTTTAGTTTAATTATATCTCATTTATCAATTTTGGCTTTTGCTGCTATTGCTTTTGGTGTTTTAGACATGAAGTCCTGGCATGTGCCTATGTCCTGAATGGTATTGCCTAGGTTTTCTTCTAGGGTTTTTATGGTTTTAGGTCTAACGTTTAAGTCTTTAATCCATCTTGAATTGATTTTTGTATAAGGTGTAAGGAAGGGATCCAATTTCAGCTTTCTACATATGGCTAGCCAGTTTTCCCAGCACTATTTGTTAAATAGGGAATCCTTTCCCCATTGCTTGTTTTTGTCAGGTTTGTCAAAGATCAGATAGTTGTAGATGTGAGGTATTATCTCTGAGGGCTCTGTTCTGTTCCATTGGTCTATATCTCTGTTTTGGTACCAGTACCATGCTGTTTTGGTACCAGTACCATGCTGTTTTGGTTACTGTAGCTTTGTAGTATAGTTTGAAGTCAAGTAGCATGATGCCTCCAGCCTTGTTCTTTTGGCTTGACTTGGCGATGCGGGCTCTTTTTTGGTTCCATATGAACTTTAAAGTAGTTTTTTCCAATTCTGTGAAGAAAGTCATTGGTAGCTTGATGGGGATGGCATTGAATCTATAAATTACCTTGGGCAGTATGGCCATTTTCACCATATTGATTCTTCCTGTTTATGAGCATGGAATGTTCCTCCATTTGATTGTGTCCTCTTTTATTTAGTTGAGCAGTGGTTTGTAGTTCTCCTTGAAGAGGTCCTTCACATCCCTTGTAAGTTGGATTCCTAGGTATTTTATTCTTTTTGAAGCAATTGTGAATGGGAGTTCACTCATGATTTGGCTCTCTGTTTGTCTGTTATTGGTATATAAGAATGCTTGTGATTTTTGTACATTGATTTTGTATCCTGAGACTTTGCTGAAGTTGCTTATCAGCTTAAAGAGATTTTGGGCTCAGATGATGGGGTTTTCTAGATATACAATCATGTCGTCTGCAAACAGGGACAATTTGACTTCCTCTTTTCCTAACTGAATACCCTTTATTTCTTTCTCCTGCCTGATTGCCCTGGCCAGAACTTCCAACACTATGTTGAATAGGAGTGGTGAGAGAGGGCATCCCTGTCTTGTGCCAGTTTTCAAAGGGAATGCTTCCAGTTTTTGCCCATTCAGTATGATATTGGCTGTGGTTTTGTCATAAATAGCTCTTATTATTTTGAGATACGTCCCATCAATACCTAATTTATTGAGAGTTTTTAGCATGAAGGGCTGTTGAATTTTATCAAAGGCCTTTTCTGCATCTATTGAGATAATCACGTGGTTTTTGTCTTTGGTTCTGTTTATATGCTGGATTACATTTACTGATTTTCATATGTTGAACCAGTCTTGCATCCCAGGGATGAAGCCCACTTGATCATGGTAGATAAGCTTTTTGTTGTGCTGCTGGATTTGGTTTGCCAGTATTTTATTGAGGATTTTTGCATTGATTTTCATCAGGGATATGGGTCTAAAATTCTCTTTTTTGGTTATGTCTCTGCCCGGCTTTGGTATCAGGATGATGCTGGCCTCATAAAACGAGTTGGGGAGGATTCCCTCTTTTTCTATTGATTGGAATAGTTTCAGAAGGAATAGTACCAGCTCCTCCTTGTACCTCTGGTAGAATTCGGCTGTGAAACCGTCTGGTCTGGGACTTTTTTTTGTTGGTAAGCTCTTAATTATTGCCTCAATTTCAGAGCCTGTTATTGGTCTATTCAGAGATTCAACTTCTTCCTGGTTTAGTCTTGGGAGGGTGTATGTGTCGAGGAATTTATCCATTTCTTCTAGATTTTCTAATTTATTTGCGTAGAGGTGTTTATAGAATTCTCTGATGGTAGTTTGTATTTCTGTGGGATCGGTGGTGATATCCCCTTTATCATTTTTTATTGCATCTATTTGATTCTTCTCACTTTTCTTCTTTATTAGTCTTGCTAGCGGTCTATTTATTTTGTTGATCTCTTGAAAAAACCAGCTCCTGGATTCACCGATTTTTTGAAGGGTTTTTTGTGTCTCTATTTCCTTCAGTTCTGCTCTGATCTTAGTTATTTCTTGCCTTCTGCTAGCTTTTGAATGTGTTTGCTCTTGCTTCTCTAGTTCTTTTAATTGTGATATTAGGGTGTCAATTTTAGATCTTTCCTACTTTGTCTTGTGGGCCTTTAGTGCTATAAATTTCCCTCTACACACATGTTTTAAATGTGTCCCAGATATTCTGGTATGTTGTGTCTTTGTTCTCGTTGGTTTCAAAGAACATCTTTATTTCTGCCTTCATTTCATTATGTACCCAGTAGTCATTCAGGAGCAGGTTGTTTGTTCAGTTTCCATGTAGTTGAGCAGTTTTGAGTGAGTTTCTTAATCCTGAGTTCTAGTTTGACTGCACTGTGGTCTGACAGACAGTTTGTTATAATTTCTATTATTTTACATTTGCTGAGGAGTGCTTTACTTCCAACTCTGTGGTCAATTTTGGAATAGGTGTGCTGTGGTGCTGAAAAGAATATATATTCTGTTGATTTGGAGTGGAGAGTTCTGTAGATTTCTATTAGGTCTCCTTGGTGCAGAGCTGAATTCAATTCCTGGATATCCCTGTTAACTTTCTGTTTCGTTGATCTGTCTAATGTTGACAGTGGGGTGTTAAAGCCTCCCATTATTATTGTGTGGGAGTCTAAGTCTCTTTGCAGGTCTCTAAGGATTTGCTTTATGAATCTGGGTGCTCCTGTATTGGGCGCATATATATTTAGGATAGTTCGCTCTTGTTGTCGAATTGATCCCTTTACCATTACGTAACGGCCTTTTTTGTCTCTTTTGATCTTTGTTGGTTTAAAGTCTGTTTTATCAGAGACTAAGATTGCAACCCTGCCATTTTTCGTTTTTCATTTGCTTGGTAGATCTTCCTCCATCCCTTTATTTTGAGCCTATGTGTGTCTCTATAGGTGAGATGGGTTTCCTGAATACAGCACACTGATAGGTCTTGACTGTTTATCCAATTTGCCAGTGTGTGTATTTTAATTAGAGCATTTAGCCCATTTGCATTTAAGGTTAATATTGTTATGTGTGAATTTGATCCTGTCATTTTGATGTTAGCTGGTTATTTTGCTCGTTAGTTGATGCAGTTTCTACTTAGCATCAATGGTCTTTACAATTTGGCATGGTTAAATAGGGAATCCTTTCCCCATTGCTTGTTTTTCTCAGGTTTGTCAAAGATCAGATAGTTGTAGATATGCGGCGTTATTTCTGAGGGCTCTGTTTGGTTCCATTGATCTATATCTCTGTTTTGGTACCAGTACCATGCTGTTTTGGGTACTGTAGCCTTGTAGTATAGTTTGAAGTCAGGTAGCGTGATGCCTCCAGCTTTGTTCTTTTGTCTTAGGATTGACTCTATTTAATAAATGGTGCTGGGAAAACTGGCTAGCCATATGTAGAAAGCTGAAACTGGATCCCTTCCTTACACCTTATACAAAAATCAATTCAAGATGGATTAAAGACTTAAACGTTAGACCTAAAACCATAAAAACCCTAGAAGAAAACCTAGGCTTTACCATTCAGGACATAGGCATGGGCAAGGACTTCATGTCTAAAACACCAAAAGCAATGGCAACAAAAGCCAAAATTGACAAATGGGATCTAATTAAACTAAAGACCTTCTGCACAGCAAAAGAAACTACCATCAGACTGAACAGGCAACCTACAAAATGGGAGAAAATTTTTGCAACCTACTCATCTGACAAAGGGCTAATATCCAGAATCTACAATGAACTCAAACAAATTTACAAGAAAAAAACAAACAACCCCATCAAAAAGTGGGTGAAGGACATGAACAGACACTTCTCAAAAGAAGACATTTATGCAGCCAAAAAACACATGAAAAAATGTTCATCTTCACTGGCCATCAGAGAAATGCAAATCAAAACTACAATGAGATACCATCTCACACCAGTTAGAATGGGAATCATTAAAAAGTCAGGAAACAACAGGTGCTGGAGAGGATGTGAAGAAATAGGAACACTTTTACACTGTTGGTGGGACTGTGAACTAGTTCAACCATTGTGGAAGTCGGTGTGGCGATTCCTCAGGGATCTAGAACTGGAAATACCATTTGACCCAGCCATCCCATTACTGGGTATATACCCAAAGGACTATAAATTATGCTGCTATAAAGACACATGCACACGTATGTTTACTGCGACATTATTCACAATAGCAAAGACTTGGAACCAACCCAAATGTCCAACAATGATAGACTGGATTAAGAAAATGTGGCACATATACACCATGGAATACTATGCAGCCATAAAAAATGATGAGTTCATGTCCTTTGTAGGGACATGGATGAAACTGGAAATCATCATTCTCAGTAAACTATCGCAAGAACAAAAAAACATACACCGCATATTCTCACTCATAGGTGGGAATTGAACAATGAGATCACATGGACACAGGAAGGGGAATATCACACTCTGGGGACTGTTGTGGGGTGGGGGGAGGGGGGAGGGATAGCACTGGGAGATATACCTAATGCTAGATGACAAGTTAGTGGGTGCAGCGCACCAGCATGGCACATTTATATATATGTAACTAACCTGCACAATATGCACATGTACCCTAGAACTTAAGGTATAATAAAAAACAAACAAACAAAAAAAAACAATTTGGCATGGTTTTGCAGTGGCTGGTACCAGTTGTTCTTGTCCATGTTTAGTGCTTCCTTCAGGAGCTCTTGTAGGGCAGGCCTGGTGGTATTTTTTTTAACAACTATTTGATTGAAATATGGGCTGTCCTAGCAATTTTTTAGAACTCTTCAATGTTTGCCAACTTTATTGAGTTATTGTGAAAAACATCAATGCTAAAAAACACTGGGTAAACAAAAAAATACAATCATCATTGTTGTTAATACAAAAGGGAAACTTGTTTGTAATCCCAATTCTACCATTTATCAGCTGTGTTACTGGGAAAGATCATATAACTTGAACAAGACTTATTTTTCTTCACCTAAAAAATTGAAACGATTACAGCAGTCTTTGTAAACCTTTTACAATGTAATAGTTGTGTGATTTAAATTAAACATTTATGCATGAGAGAAAATTATGAAAAACTATGCCAAAACAAGGTCTTATGTATCACTGACCCTGGATTCCTCACCACTCCTGAGCCAAGCCATCTACTTAGTTTGGGTTCTTTAAGGCCTTCCAGATCTGCATTTGTTCTTTGTCAAAACTTGCTAACTACTTAGTCCCTTTCACTCAATAAAACTGCTTCAGAGTGTAGCTTTTCCCACACGCATCAAACTAAAACTCAATCTTAATTCCTTCTGTTCCTTGCAAATTGATCTAAACTTGTCCTACCTTAAATTAAGGTAAATTAGAGAAGGGGCTTTTCCTGTGGCTCAGGATTTTCCAGTGTCTCGTTTTAACTATTTTGGATTTTACCCCAACTGAGGTTCATGACACTGCCTCTCTTCTCTCTAATTTATAACTATTATTATTTAACTTCAAATAAAATATCGAAGTTGCTGTATCAGTTTTGCCATGACTTCGGTCTGGATTCCTTTGCTGTTTAAATATGTTTTTGAAAATACAGACCCACTGTCCTGAAATGTGTTTATTTTGCTTGAAATCTTGGATTCCATTGCCTGAGAATATATGTGAGATGATAACTCAGTTGTCAGAGTTGCCATAATAGCCTAATATTAGCATGTGTATTAAATATATAAGTAAGACTTCTGAGTTGGAAACTTGCTGAGATACACTGTATGTATTTCCTTGATCAAGTAATAATTTATCACCCTCATTGTTATGATGTATTATACAATTACTTGGAGGCCGACATTTCATATACACTGTCATTATTAAAACAATCTGTTTGATAAATTTTGTGTTCTTCATTTTAGAGATAAAACTACTTGATGTGTAAGAGTGAACCCTAATGTAAACATTGGACTTTGGTGTCGTAATGATGGGTCAGTGTAGGTACATTGATTACAACAAATGTAACATTTTGGTATAGCATGTCAATACTGAGGAAGGCTATCAGTGGGTGAGGACGGGGGTATAGGAGAAATCTTTGTACTTTCCACTCAATTTTGCTGTGAACCTAAAACTGCTCTAAAAATAAAGTTCATCAATTTAAAAAAAGGAAAAAAAATACTCAGTGTGGTTAAGTGATTTGCTCAGGATTACTCAGGCCACTAATATCCGCAGATTTATAATTTAAACCCAGGTCTGCATTCTCTTTCTACAATACCTCCAAACATTTTGTGCCTCAAAGTATGACACCTTAGGCATCCTATTTGAAAATAACATACAGATCTCAATGATTAATTAGAGGTTTTCTATATAGCAGGAGAGCGGTAAATATTCTGTAATAACAACTGCTATATATTAGGCCAAATAATTTAACATTGCTATTATAGATTAATATTATTTTAAAGTACATATTTTATCTTATTTTGGTAAACAATATTTCACTCTAGATGATAACTTGCTTTCTTTGATTCGTAGTTTATTTTGTCATTTCGTCTGATGGTAATTGCACTGTATAATGATTAGCAAATAACCTGTGATTTGTAAAAAGGTACATGTTAGGCTAAGAAAATTGACTTTATATAAAACTGTTTTGCTGTAATTTTTTTTGGATGGAGTTTTGCTCTTGTTGCCCAGTCTGGAGTTCAATGGCGTGATCTCGGCTCACTGCAACTTCCACCTCCCAGGTTCAAGCAATTCTCCTTGCTCAACCTCCCCAGTAGCTGGGATTACAGGCGCCCACCACCACGCCCGGCTATTTTTTTTTTTTTTTTTTTTTTTTTTGTATTTTTAGTAGAGATGGGGTTTCACCATATTGCCCAGGCTGGTCTTGAACTCCTGACCTCAGATGATCCTCCTGCCTCCATCTCCCAAAGTGCTGGGATTACAGGTGTGAGCACCCAGGCTTTTGTCTGTTTTTTTTTTGTTGTTGTTAAAAATTCTCTATTATCCTAATAGAAAAATACATTAATATATACATATCAGAGTTCTTTAATTCCTGATCATTTCAAAAATAGATGTGTAATTATTTCTCTAAAACACCTCACTAGTTGCTATATAGTATGTGATCTGTCTTCCTAAAGATTAAATTCTTTCTTCTTTTATAGAATTGGAATGTTATGTGCTGTGCAATTATGCATACTAGATTTATGGCAAGAACAAAAGAAAAATTGTGGTTACCAGAAAGTAAAATAGTAAGTACAGCATAAACATTGTGCTGGATACATAGAAAAACTTATCAATACCTATAATTATTTTCTTTTACAGAATAGATGCCAAATACATATTTATCTCACTGAAAATGTCGCATCACTTTTTTGGAGGTGAATTTAAACAGCCTTACACATTCGATTAAAATGAATGATGACTCATTATTTACAGCGTGTTGGGGGCAACCTCACACCATTTAAGGTCATGACTTTAATGTAATATAAAGGTTTCATGTTGTGTGTGTGTGTGTGTGTGTGTGTGTGTGTGTGTTTTCGTTTACTTTTAAAATGGAGAATGCTGCTGCCTGAAAGCTGTCTGGGAATTCAGCCAAAGAAAGAAGAGGGTTGCAAAAACTCTGGGGACTTGAAAGAAAAGTGGCTGGCATTAGCTCGGTCCTCACTTTAAACTAAAATTAAAACAATGGACAGACATGTACAGTAATCTCTCTTTTAAGGAAAGAATAGAATGCTTCTATAGTAGTGTCAAGTGGAACAATTTGGTCCTGGCCCAAGTTATGCAGCTGTTTCACAGGAAAATGGCAAAAGGCTTCAGTCCAAAGCAGGCAAATAGGCATGATTGTTCATAAACAGTCACTGGGGCCCTCACATTTAGAACAAGGAAAACAACATTAGCATAAAGAAGGGCAGGTTCGGAACACCAGGCTCAGTGCAACTTGAGCCATGCCATGATGTTGTGATTTACACAAAAGATAGTGGTGTGATTTTGCCTACTACCAATATACCTAATTACTCTGAATAACTCATTCTTCAAAACGTACTAGTTAAATACTTTTTAAGAAACAATGAAGTTTTGACCACAGATTAAATGTATTATTGAAGACAGCTACAAGATATAAAGAAATCATATAGCCACTATTCATTCCTGATTTTCACATGTTAATGAGAAGTGGATCAGATAAATGATAAAGATGATAAAAATTAAGTGCTTACTTATACTAAGCTATACTTAGTACATTAAGTATACTAAGTAAGCTTATATACTAAGCTTACTTAATACTAAGCTATAGTATTGCTTCTCAGTGGTTCTTAAATAACAAAATGAAGATACAGGTACAATAGTTGCAAAATAATGGAGTAGAACTTTGACAACGATTACCTGAGTAAAACAGGGAATTCTAACCTGCTGATTGAGTATATCACATATTTCATTTTCACTCCCACTCTTGTATGGCTATCTTAAAATATGCAAGACTCCCCATTATATGTGTTGCTATTATTATGTTTTATTTTAAAATATGTTTGACAGAATTTTTTCTCATCCCTCTTCCACTTTTTGATTCATTTTTTGAAGTTGATAGTCTTTCCTTTAGTGGCTGTCTTCACTTCCCTACTACCTACTAACTCCCTGATTAAACCGTTTCAATTTGCATCCTGTTCTTTTTACTCTGGTAAGACTTTTCTTTACGATCAGTAAGATTTCCTTCTGGGAAAATCCAATTATTTCAGTCTTGTCTTGTTTTTTGTCCTTTCTGCCTCATCTGGCACTGTTGGAAATAGTATATAAACTACAGAAAGGCTAAAAATTAGACTGTTTTTAAAGAGATTAATGCCTTCATCTAATGGAGAAGACAGTTACTGTAAAAATATAGAGAAGTTTATTTAAGATGATTAGAAGAACGAAGAAGAAGCAATAGTCCAAATGAAGAAAGGCATCAAAGAAGTTGATTCTAACTTTAATGCTAATGTCCTGACAGTCTGCAAGGAAATATGATAAAGGGAAAGTTGTGAATGAGAATATAATACAAGAAATCAGTTAATACATATTTACTTGTGGACCATAGCATACAGAATATAACACTGGGATTTATGAAGATAAACGCAACATATAATGACTACTTTACTTTGAAGACGTTGTGGAGCTCATGAGTTATTTGCCAGAACACACTACATTAAATTACAGATTTTTATATGGTTAAGAACTCATGCCAGAAACGACTAGTTTGGTAGAAATTTGACAAGTTTCCAGAAATAATATAAATATAGAAGAAAGCCTAATAAAGGAGGATGGCAACAGTGAAACATATCATGAGACTAGCCAGTTCACTGCCCTAAAGCATCTAGGGCTTCAACTTCAGTGATGAAAATTATTGTCAGTCCTATTCTAGTTTTTCAAAAGTAACTTTAGCTAGAATAAGTGGAAATTTACATTTAGCAATTGAAGTAGCAGCACATAATAGAAAGAGTTAAGGCTTTGGGCAAGACTGAACTGAATTCAAATTCTCACTCATTTTAAATCTGGATAAATAGGAAAATTTAGTGAAAAGTTTTGAGCCTTAGTTTCTCTTCCGTAAAATAGGGAGCCTTTCTTATTTCCTTTATCTATTTGCAAAATGATAGTAATCAGGATCCTTCTGAGAAAGGTAATATTTTGCATTTCATAAATCTCTTGAAATTTGTATTCTTAAATAAAATAAATAAGAAATTATTGTGCTTTTCATTCATCTGCAGTGCAGAGGATTATTACACATCCAAGATTATTTCTAGGTAACTGAAAAGAGATTAAAAGAAGGCACATTCATTCAACCATATCTTAGATGAGTTATATGAACTACTTAAATATTTAATTATATAAAACATAAAGTCTAATAATTTCCATAAGTAAAATAATGTTTCTACTGTTGGAAGTAGATATGGAATCAAAGAATCGTTGTAAGACAATTGGATGCTACTTGAGCAGGCATTCATTTATTTTCAAGCATTCTATAAAGCATATTCCCTAACTTCACCTTGTTTAATTGCATAAATTGTGCACATAATCCAAATGTATACAAATGTACTTTTGGATAAATCTGAAGGAAAGAAGACCAAAAACAATCTCTTTAAAATAATTACTAGAAGAGAGAACAGTTTAAAAATATCAAAACTGTGGTAAATAAGGCATGGATTTATTAATATGGTAAAAAATATAATGACATACAATTTATGAAGTTAAAGTGCCAGGCATCTATCTTACAATTCTTTTAGAAACATTCTCCATGGGATAGTATGAAACTTAAATAATATAAATGTTATTGGAGACAAATTTTTAGCAATTTAACCTGATTTGCCAGAAGCAATCTCATATAGTTATATACAAAGAACAATTTAATTCCTTCTATTAAAATTTAAACAGAATTAAAATAAATTGGAATCTTTTAACAAATCAAGTAAATTACATAAAGCTAGGCCTAGAGTGTTCCTGTATTAGAATGATCATATTGCTTTCAAATAGAATTTAAATAATCCATAATTAAATATCCATATGTAAGTTTTGCTTAATAATTGGTATTCCTTGACTAGCTATTTATAAACACAAATTTCAAAAGGTGAAGTTTTAGAGTTGAAGTGACATTATCACATTGACGTGCATATATTCTAATATTGAAATTACTTTACAATTAAACACATTGAGTTTGTGACCCATTACTTGTTTCATTGGGTGTTTCATAAGAAATATAGATTCGATTTTCCTTTTATGAAAATGAGTCTTCTTGTAACTTTAAAACTTGGGCGTATTTTGGGGATGCTTCAATATTTTCTAAGTTTTTCATGGGAGAACTGAATTCAACGGTGTGCTGCTTTTATACTCTGATGATATGAACAGTGACTGATATACTCCATTCAGGTTAAAATATCTTACTGGAAAAAATACAAAAAGAAATAACAGCTGGAAATCTTCCCAGAAACTTCACTAGATGACAAAGTAAAAACCAATCTTCCATAGACCTTAATGAAGACATGGTTCATGAGGTTTTCTGTTCTAGAGATCACTTTGCCCACCAAGAAAAGACACAAACTGTGGATTTCTACAGTTAAAGGCTGTAATCAAAGCAAGATAAAAGAAAAAAAGTTAAAAGCTTTATTGCTCATTAACTCACTTACAGTGGTTTTCCTTTGGATTCACAAGTCAAAATTAAAGGCTGTCCTTCTTGTGGAAAAGGAGTCGATGGTATAATCTTAACTGATGGTGTATCTAGAAATAAAAGAATATTAAGAAAGGTAATTAAACACATACAAAACTAGATATTTAATAACTGTGCATCATGCTGTGTGTTCAGCATTTCTTATATATTATTTATAATTGTGTATATTTATAAAGGATTTCTTAGATTTGGTAAAATAAGGTGTGTGATTTAAAAAGCTAACAACCTGTCCATGCAAAGCTAACAAAAATATCTAAATATCTCCTGAGCACCACTGTTGTATTATTTCTGAAATCTGAATTTAAAAGAGAAATTGCAAAATGTGGTTGAGATGAATATCAAGCATTTCATACAATTGTTTCTTAAACTATTTATAGATGGCTATGAATACTATTATTATGGGCTGAATGCATTTATGTGCATCTGAATAACAACACTTTCATTGTTACAGGAATACCAGGGACTCACAATAAGGAACCCACAATGAACTCAAGCTCAATTACTGTCTCACAAGTATTATGCAGAATCTTTTCAAAATGCAATGATGCAGCACTGGGCACATGCCGCTTGCTCTGAAGTACAGAAGTACAGTTAGTGAGTCACTTCCAATAGCATTTATGATTTTATTAAAAGTTAACATTTGTTATATGTGCTACTGCATGTTTGTTAGAAAATTATTTATTTCCATTTAACAATAAATCATCCCTAGTGAGAATTAAAGAATACTTCAAGACATTTATATGTATAACTTGAATGACATACAATATTCCTTAATCAACACAAAGGTAACATATTTCATAGAAAAAATGGAAAATAAGCTCAAAAAAGAGACGATATTAACACATTCTTTCTTTATGAGGCTTTGCTAGTCCTGGCATTGTCTGGCCCACAGTCAATGTGAAATTGTCTTCTCCTCTTATCTTCACATTCTCTACAATAAACAAAATAGGCTCTGAACTCTCCAGAAGATCACAATTATTCTCACTCTTCCCTTCTTAGCTGTAACAGAAGGACTGATCTGCACTGTTATTATATACATTCTTTGATTTTAGAGCCAGTTAAATGAGTTACTACCGATTGTGTAATTTTCAGGTGAGTTACCTTATCTAAGGAAAATATTATTTAGATTTCTCCTATATAGAATAATAAAGTATAAAATAAAATGTAATAGTTTATATCATACTTTAAAATTATGTATGCTTTTCAAATGCATTCTCCTTTAATTCCTTAAACAAGAGAATGCATTGAAGACAATTAAAAATAACATTCTGGTTGCAAATAAACATTCAAAATACATCACAGTAAATACTTGTGGTGTAAAATGACTTAGGAAGAAAAATTAATCTGAAAAAATATGATACACATTCATCATACTTTTTTAACTGATAGAAGAAAAAAATTGAATATCAGATTTAAACATACTTTATTAATTTTTTCCATTATCAGCACATCTATGGAATCAGTTATTGACTAGGATAACCATATAATTTCATCTCCAGAGCAGGACATTTTTAAAAGAAAAAGAGAAAATATTAATAATTATGAAGATGACAGTTGTGAACCAGACTGTTCTGGTCAAACTGAGGCCTATGGTCTTTTGACCTCTAACTAAACATACATATAGCAACATTTATTTTCCCCATGACATATTATAAAGAAGAGTTTAGTTTTCATGGAAAAAGTTTGAGGTGAAAGATCAGAAATGTATAATTTTGGGAGACAGAATTATGTTAACATGGGTGTCTGTGATGTTTAATTTTGTGTGTCAGTTTGACTGTGCCTTGGGGAGTCCAGCTATTTGACCAAACATTATTCTGAGTGTTAATGCGAGGATGTTTTTTGGAGGAGATTAACATTAAAGTTGGTAGACTGAGTAGAGCAGATGGCATTCCATGATATGAAAGGGCCTCATCCAATCTCTTGAAAGACTAAATAAAATTAAAAGGCTGCTCCTCCTCCAAGTAGAAAATAAATCTTCCTGCCTGATGTCGTTTGAACTGCAATGTTGACTTTTTTCCTGCCTTTAGAATAGAATGGAAACCTTGGGTCTTTCTGGGTCTGGATCCTGAGACCTTTGGACTGGAACTATATCATCAATTCTCTTCGTTCTCAGGCCATTAGACTCAGAGTGGAACTAAACCATTGGTACTCTTGGTCTTCCAGCTCGCTGACTCACTTTGCATATCTTGGGATTTCACCTCCATAATCACATGGACAATTCCTCACAATAAATCTCCTTTTATATGTATGTACAGCCTATTGGCTCCATGTCTCCGGAGAACCCTAACATGGTGTCCAATATCCTAACAAAGAGACCCTGAGGCTGTCTTTTATTGAGCGGGGAATGTGCCAGGTGGTAATCTCAGGAAGCCTTGAGAAGTGAGACAGGAAGGGAAGGAAGTAAATGAAGCCTGTGTTATTGAGCAGATTACACTATGAGCAAAGCAAATTGAATTCAATTCCACTGTGGAACCGAGAGTGAGTGGAGGACATGACTCTGAGTTACCTTACTTGATGGGCAAGACACAGGACTATTGATGGAATATTTATTTATTAGTTATCCTCTTTGGTTGAGGACTGCTCCTGAGGGTGGGGGTGGAGGAGGTTGGTGAGGAGGTGTTATTTCCTAGGCACTTTTGCCCTTGTCAGTACACAAAAATAGTATGTGCCAAAGGGAAATGGAAGGTCACCACCAGGATCTGCTTCACTAAGGTAAATTACATAGTGGCAGGCAGCTGTGAGAAAAGAGGAACGCACAATGTGGCTTTGCTCTGCCTGTTTAGTTTAAGCAGTACAGGAGAGGCGAGAATCTGTGTAACAAATGTTCCCTTGAAGTATGATTCAGCATTCCCTTTAGATCTGACACACAGAATTTCCATTATAAGCAAACGCCAAAGCAGATAATATACTTAACACATATTTCCATACAACTCTCAGGAATAACCTAAATAAGCTCTAAGTTACTAAAAATCAAGAGATGTAAGACAGTATTCATTTATTTGACTTCAAAATTATTCAAAGTGTTGATTAGCTCCTGTTTCTAAGACCTATCTTTCCATATAAATAAGGAAACACACACACACAAAAACAGAATTTATGTAAAGATAATTTTAAAATGGAGATTTAAATAATTATCTTCCCTAGATTTCCTTGACAAATACCTATGTTTCATCTGTTCCTCAACCCCCTCCCTGCCACACATATACTCCTGGTTCAACTCTTAGGTCCCTGGCTACATTTTCTCAGATTCTGTTGGGTGGTATTTTTCTATGTAGCCTTTACATGTTTAAGATCAGGGTGAATGGGATTCAAATTCTGTTCTTTGATGAATTTCTCTAGGTCTTTTAAGCCTCACTCTTATCTTTAGTTTCCATTTACTTACCAATCACTCATGGATTTATATCCTAGTGCAGTTCTGCTTCACAAGCTTATTTATGTGCAACACCTATGTGGCATGTTCACTTGGATATCTAAAAGGCTTGGCACATTTGACGTATTCAAAATGAACTCAGTCTCCAATCTTTCCCCAACGTTTCTCCTTCAGAGAGCTCTATTTCTATAGATACCACTAGCATCCACGCAGTGACATACACCCGATACCTCGTTTCTTTGTTTTTTTCCATAATCAATTACCCATGAACTCTTGTTAATTTATCTTCTAAATAATTTTCAAATTAATTCACTACTTTTTCATAGTTCCACAGCCACTATTTTAATCTAGTTTGCCAAAATAGTAAATGGTCTCCTTTATGTCAAAATTTTAACCCTTTAAATCTTACTCTGATAACGAAACAAAATTGTCTTCTCAAAACATAAATCTGATCACATCAACTTACTACTTAAAACCTTTCATAATTAATCTTTTCTCTTAAAAATTATTAAACCATTTAATAATTTTAATAATTAATAAATTTAAAATAAAAATTTAAAATAATTTTAAATTTTAAAATTTAATGATTTTAAATTTAAGTCCTGCATAACCTGTATCATTTATGTTCTTGTCTTCTAATGTTCTATTTTATTATTTGAATTCCAGCCAATTTTATTTTTATCAAGTTCTTTAATAAATGTGTTTCATTTTGCCTTCATACAAATTATCAGAAATGCTCCATTTTGGAGAGATTCCTTGCTTATTTAATTCTTACGTATTTTTAAAATCTTAATTCAAATGCTTTTGCTAAGGGCAATCATTCATTACCTTCAAATCTGATCAGATACCATTGCTGCATGTTCCTTTTTTCACCTTTGTGTAATGTTCTTTTTAAAAGTAGTTGATATATCCTCCATGTCTTGCATAGTGTTTAAACAAAGTGTGTGCTTAATAAATAATTGTTAAATAAGTGGAAGTAATATTCTTTTTATTTTCTTTTTTTTCAGACAAGGTCTCACTCTGTCCCCGAGGCTGGATTGCAGGGGTGTGATCACAGCTCACTGCAGCCTCGGCCTCCTGGGCTCACATGATCGATCCTGCAGCCTCAGTCTAGTAAGTAGCTGGGACCACAGGTGTGCTCCACCATGCCTGGCTAATTTTCTTTCTCTTGCTCTCTCTTTCTTTTTCTCTCTTTATCTCTTTCTTACTTTCTTTCTTCTTTCTTTCTTCCATTTTTGAAGAGATGGAGTCTCACTGTGTTGCCCAGGCTGGTCTCGAACTCCTGGCCTCACGTGATCCTCCCACCTTGGCCTCCAAAAGTGCTGGGATTACAGGTGTGAGCTACCATGCATGGCCAGCAATAAAATTTGTGATATATCTTATCATCATTTTGGTATACTATTCTAAAATATTTTTAAATGCTTAAATGAAATTTATTGGTGCCTGATGTTTAGAAGGTACATTAACAAGATTAACATTATAATTAATCTGAACTATTAATTAATTAACATTTAATTATTAAGTAATATAATTATTAATATATTAATTAATTAACATATAATTAATCTTAAATATTTAAGTTGCAAACCTTAGATTAACTTTTAATCTTAGTTCATATTTAATTTAATGTGGAGTACTATTCAACCATAAAAAGAATGAGATCCAGTCATTTTTAACAACATGGATGGAACTGGAGATCATTTTGTTTTGTGAAATAAGCGAGGCACAGAAACACAAACATCACATGTTCTCATTTATTTGTGAGATATAAAAATCAAATCAATTCAACTCGTAATCATAGAGAGTAGAAGGATGGTTACCAAAGGCTCAGAAGGGTACTGGGGGTTTGAGAGGGAGGTAGGAATGGTTAAGGAGTACGAGAAAAAAATTAGAAAGAATGAACAAGACCTACTATTTGATAGCACAAGGAAGTGACTATAGTCAATAGTAATTTAACTATATATTTTAAAATAAGTTACAGAAGGTAATTGGACTGTTTGTAACTCAAAGAATAAATGCTTGAGGGGATAGATAACCCATTCTTCATGATGTGCTTATTTCGTTTTGCATGCCTGTATCAAAACATCTCATGTACCCCATAAATATATACACCAATTATGTACCCATAGAAAGTTTTAAAAAAAGAAAAATTTTTTAAATGTATATTGCACACTCTCTGTTACAAATAATCTGCATTGGATATCATTAGGTAACAATTTTCTATGTTGTTAAAAATACCAATTTCTTTTTAATGCAAGTACTACATGTGTAAACTATTTTTTACTCATCTGATTTTGGCAGAGGTAGTACTCAATTGTGAAGACATTTATTTAATTATTCAGCCAAAGCTAGTTTATATTTCCATGATATAAATTATTCCTCTTTAAACATGCCATTTTAGTAATACTCACTAAATGCCTTTTTATTAACCACAAGTACTACAGTAATGAGGTTATTATCTTAAACTTGACTCTCGAATAATTGTTTTTAATAGCAGGAAGTAATTTTGGTTTTGATAAAGATCTATGTCATTATTATTTCTATTTATTTTCATCAGACACTTTATCATACATAAGAGAATTGATTAAGCAATGTTATCCTAAAAACATTTTAGTAAGATATCAATAATATTCTAGAAATAATGCTTGTAAATGCGTTTAGAACTACTATACTTTGTTAGCTAACCAAAGAACAGAAAAGTAGTCATCTCAAAAACTGAGTTAATTTTGAAAGTCTTCACTTTCCAGGATGTCTTCAAACTATTTATATTAATGTGTGAGACTCTGATGTAAACATATTTCTCTCTATTATTTATTTTGTTACATATCAAAATGAATGGATTGTCAGGACTGGCACAATGCATAATAGATTACATGTAAACGGTTTTCTAAAATAATCTTAAATTTATGCACTTAATATGTTACTCCACTTTTTACTGACCCAGATATGAATAGTAATGAAGTAAATAGTGCATCATCCAAACTTTTCCTTACATGCTTTTGCCAAGTTATCTACTAGATTTAGAAAAAAAAGTTTGTATTTTTTCTGTGAATATGTTTTATAAGTTAATTATAGATTTTCTTCTGGTTCATAGTTGTTCATTTTAAACATATTTCAAATGATTGAAATTGGGAATATTTTCTAAACCAAATTTTACTTAAACAGTAATTCCAGACTTACTGTAGAAATAATTCCTCTATTTTCCTCTGTAGGAGCAAGGTGTGTTACATTTATTCCTGCTCTACTATTTCACAAGACAGAATGACTCTTTTGGTTCAATACATTGGAGATGTGTATGATGTTCTGTTTTTAATTTACTGATATAATGTATTGTATTGTACCAATTAGTAATAGTTTAAAAGGGGGTTAGAAAAAATGCATTAATACGACTGCTATTTATTCTAGTTTTGTCCTGTATGTGAAACTCAGATATTTTTTGCAAACTAGCAATTTTCACGCAGTTTTAAAATGCCTTTAAAAAATTGGTCCTTTCAACGTTGTATTTATTAAATATACATGAATGTACATAATGTATATTTGTAATATATCCACATTTTGAGCACTCAAAATCTAATATATTAACTTACTCGATTGTGTGTCCTTATATCTCATGCTTAGTAAATTGTAAGAGCTCTTTAAGTGTTGTGTAAATAAATGAATGTTTTGTTCAAAATGCAAAAAAACTGAAGTTTTGTACAAGTGTGTAAAGATAGGCATATATTCAATCATTAACAAATAATTTTTCAGTACTTGTAAGTATCCAACTAAAATACGCAGATATTTTAAAAGCAAAATGCTCTAAGACTTTTGTAGAAACAAAAAATATTCTTTAGAATGTCTATAAAATGTTTAAATGTGGAAAGCCCCATTGTTTTCCTAGATTTTTTTTTTATTGCTTTACCTTTGTCTGACATATTCTGGGGCTTATTTAGGAAGAAACACAATTACTTTCAAAAGCTAGATTTATGGACAAAAGGTTTTTCTTCTTTTGACTGGGCGTGGTGGCTCACGCCTGTAATCCCAGCACTTTCGGAGGCCGAGGTGGACGGATCATGAGGTCAGGAGATCAAGACTATTCTGCCCAACATGGTGAAACGCCGTCTCTACTAAAAATACAAAAATTAGCTGGGCATGATGGCATGCGCCTGTAATCCCAGCTACTCGAGAGGCTGAGGCAGGAGAATCACTTGAACCCGGGAGGCGGAGGTTACAGTGAGCCGAGATCGTGCCATTGCACTCCAGCCTGGCAACAGAGCAAGACTCCATTTCAAAAAAAAAAAAAAAAAAATTCTTCTTTTATACAAAAATTTAAAGGTTTTATGAACTTGGGAAGTAAGGATAGCTCACTTTCCATTTGAATGACTGAGGATTTGAATCAAAGTAAAGATATTGATCCAGCAGAATGGATTTTCTATATCCTTAGCAAGGATTTTAAAAGAGAAAAGACCTGTGATGAAGCTTCTATTAAACCACCTTATGAACAATCTTAAAAGCACAAGCTTTGAAAGTATTTAGCGTCATTGGCTTAACAAAATTTATCCATCACCAGATTTTGTAGATAAATAAAAAGAAGCTTTGAGTTAAATGTTTTATCAGGAAAAAAATAAAATAAAAAACAACGTATTTCTTTTGTAATTGAATAAGTATAATAGAAATTTAAGGTTATATAAAATCAACACTTAACCTGTTATGGATGATGGCCAAAATGCTAAGTAAGAGAAACAACCAAAGACTACTGTACCCTCCTATATTGCATAATGTAGTGAGTGAAGAAATACAGTGGTTTGTAACACAAAGTAGCAGTCATTTGCATTGCTTATATTACAGTCTTTGGTTGAAAGAAAATTATAATATTGATAATTTTATTTGTTCACAAAATTAGTTCCTATGAGTACTGTCATTTATTCATTTGACAAACACTTACATAGTTCCTAAGACACACAAAGAAGAGTGCTAGTACCCATTTCTATCCATTGTTTCACTAGAATGGTAACATTGTAACATTATAACATTTTACATTGTGACATTCATATTGCGGTCCCTCAAGATCAGGTATTAGTCTTAAACGGTGCTACTCAGTGTTTGGCATATTCCTAGGATGCATGCTTATCAAAGCAGAGATCATCTTTTATCTTGTACACTGACTTATCCTCATGTCCTAGAATAACTACTGGACCTCAATTAAGTAATTGTTGAGTAAATAAATGAATAATGGTCTTTTGAAATATTTTCCAACTACTGATTAAATTTGTTAGAAAATCAAATTTACTCGTCACAACTATCTTCTAATAATAGTAAACATTAATCAAATACTTGGTAAATAATACGCATTGATGTAATTGCTCTGTATGCATTGGCTCATCAAACTCTTATAAAGCATACCAAAAATTCTGTGCTCTCCTCATTGTACAGAATACGAAACATGCTCAAAGGAGTGAAGTTAACACTGATAAATTTATTTGACCCTTTTTCTCCAATCTTAATCACATTTCAATGAGTTTGTGTTTTCTAGTCTCTTTTAGACTACACTAGCAATTGATGTTTTTCATACTATGTTCTGTTAAATTCATCAGAATTAACTCTTTCTCTATCTGGTTAAATTAGCAGCCAGCCCAAGGCTTTGGCTCTATATGATCTGCATATTGTGTACACTCTCATATATCTCTCTCACATCGTTTTCCTCATTGACAGTCAAAAAATATTCTTTTAAAATACACCCACTGTCTCATTTATAAAAACAGGTTCTTCTTATTCACAAACTCTTCTCATCCACAAATAATATAAAAAAAAAACCTCCCGATAGCAAATTTGTACTAACGGAAATTTAGAAATTTTAAAGTGTCTTGCAGATGAAAGACTTGTGAATCTTTGCCTTATCGCAATATTATTGCATAAGAGTTTCCAAACTAAATTTAGGTAACACTCATATAAAGATCTCTCAGAACTTAACATTAATACTAAAGAAGACAATGCACTAACTCACTATTGTGAAGCCACTTTTGTTTTACTTCAAAATAGTGGTTCTCATCTGAGTACAATTTCATCCCCTAAGTATATTTGAAAATGTCTGAAGATATTTTTGCTTGTTAGAGGAACGGAGAATAGCAATTAACATCTAATGAGCAGAGGCCAGGAGTGCTGCTAAACATCCCACAGCACATAGGACAGCCCCACACCAGCCCCCAAAAAAACAAACAGAATTCTCTTGCCCAAAATGTCAATAATACTTTTCTTTAAAATATTTACATTTACTTTATTATCTATTTTCTATTTATTTATTTATTTATTTATTTATTTATTTATTTATTTTTGAGACAGAGCCTCACTCTGTCGTCCGGCTGGAGTGCAGTGGTATGATCTCGGCTCACTGCAAGCTCCTCCTCCCGGGTTCATGCCATTCTCCTGCCTCAGCCTCCCGAGTAGCTGGGACTACAGGCGTCTTCCACCACGCCCGGTCATTTTTTTATATTTTTAATAGAGACGGGGTTTCACCGTGTTAGCCAGGATGGTCTCGATCTCCTGACCTCATGATCTGCCCTCCTTGGCCTCCCAAAGTGCTGGGATTACAGGCGTGAGCCACTGTGCCCGGCCTATTTTCTTTATATTTGTCTATCTATCTATCTATCTCTGTCTTCTTTGTTACAAAAGATAGGGAGCTACTAGAGAACTGTGGCGCTGTATGCATTGATACGAATTGCTTATGTTCTCTCACATCATTGCTTACTCCTGAAAGGAAGTGAACGCTTAATACTCTGAGTTAGGCCATTATGATACACTCCTGAAATGAAAAGCTGTAAATCAAACTCAATCCACACCTCAAGTTCTACCACTCAATAGGAACAGTGGGGTTAAAATACCAAGGGTTAACAGGACTCTTTCAGTTCCAGCACTATCTGATTCTCGTTTTTTCCTGGGTACAATTGTGTTTTTCTAAGATGTTTAGTTTATTTTTCCCGTTTGTAATTCTGTAGTAAAATTCTCACTTTCCATTTAACTTACATTTCTTAATACTGAAAATTATCCGGTACTTTTCTTCAACGGTGTGTTAAATTTCTTTCGATTTTAGTGAATGCTTCTGTGGCAATCATTATTTATTTGAAAAATATTTATAAATCACTGTGCATACAAGACACAGTACCACTATTATAAAACTGTTATACATCTGCAAAAATAGCAACCCATCGGAATATAGTATTAATAAATTAGATAAATTATATATAGTTCAAAATAATTCAAACTCAATATTGTAGACACCATAGTACTTGGATGATGTAGTATGGGAGTTGCCAGGATAGATTATACATATTTGTCAGAAGCAAAGAAGATTACTTAGAAAAGTGACATTTAAAATAATTCAGAGAAAACACAGCATTTGATCTGGTAGAAATTTTCTAGAGGGAAAGAAAAGAAGGGATTTAAGGCAAAGGAAAAATTAACAAAGTGTTGTATTAAAGAATGTTGGCTATATATGAGGCATCTAGAAATAATGTAAAGCATAGAATGCATTGTCTGAAAAAGAGTACTTGAGAGCAGCATTATAGGGGGTTGGTTGTATTTTAAAAGCCTTGAATGTCAAGCTGTAGAGTTTGGACTTTATGTTAGAAGCAATAAGAAATCTTCGCGGGTTTGTATCAGGTAAAGAACCAATATTTAAGAAGACATGTTTGGCAGTGTGTAAAACTGAGTGTATCTAGGAGAGGCATAGAAGCAATGTGTCTCTATCATAAAGTTGGGCCACAAGGAAGACCTTAAAGGGAAGCAAAAGGTAGCAGTAAAAATACAGATAATAAATGCATCAGCACTTTCGTTCATTTTAATTCTTATTTATTTATTTATTTATTTATTTATTTATTTTTAGATGTTGTTTCATTTTGTCACCCAGGCTGGAGTGCAGTGGTGCCATCTCGGCTCACTGCAGCCTCAAACTCCTGGGCTTAAGGGATCCTTCCACTTTGGCCCCCGATGTAGCTGGGCTACAGGAACACGCCACCACTCATGGCTAATTATTTTGTATTTTTTGTAGAGACGTGGTTTCCTCCATGTTGGCCAGGCTGGTTTCAAACTCCTGAGCTCAAGTGATCCATCTGCCTTGGCCTCCCAAAGTGCTATGATTACAAGCGTGAACCACTGTGCCAGTCCATACATTTTTATAACTGTTGACTCTATGGTACATTATTTTAAGTGCATTTGAAACAGTTCTAACTATGTTTAAGTAATGATATTTCATAATTTGTGTTCTTTCTTTATTAGAGGTGCTCCAAAAAAAAAGAAACAATTTAATTTTAAAAATAGGTTTAAAAATTGGCTTACCTTGCAATTATGATATGGAAACATTAAATCATCTTATAAATCTAAGATACATTATGAAATTTTGGTGACACTATGTTTCTTTTATTATGAGAAATCTTGCTACTTCAGGGACCTAGTTATTACTTCACCACTAACTCATCAATTATCCCCAACTATGATAAAAAGAATAACATAAGAATAAAATGGATATATATACAAATGATTTAAGAGTGGGAATGTCCACACAGTAACAACTAATCACATGTGGCTATTTAAATTTAAATGTAATTCAATTATGATTAAGTAAAATTTAAATAGCATTTCCTTAGTCACAATACCCACACTTCAATTGCCGATAACCACAGGGAGCTGATTATTGGCTACCATCTGGAGATAGAGAACATCTCTATTATCACAGAAAGTTATATTGGACAATGCTGGGGTAGAAGGTTTATGCAAGTGATATAAATCATCACTGTTACCTAATCCTTATGTGCTTATAGGATTGCCCAGGTTTTGGATTTTCTTTTGTAAAAAATTAAAAGAAGTATAGAAACAAAAACACCATATTGTAGTTCTGTTTGCTACTGTGTTTGTTTGTTTTGTTGTTTTTTTTTTTTGCTTTCATGATATCAATTGAGAACTCAGAATTTTTAATTTTCTGCCTATAATGGCAAAAGAAGGAAATTAATAAAGACACCCCAAAATTATTAGAAAAATTGGAGGAGAAATGCAAAGAGAAAACAGTGAAGCTCAAGCCTCTTAAAATGACAGTAAAACAAGTTTTCACTTTTGATACTCTAGATAAATTCTATCAAGCTCAAAAATAGATGAGTTGGAACAGTTTCTAATACAAAGAAGGACTTCACCACACAATATTTTGCAACCATATGATTTTGCTGAAAGGAAAATATGACAATGTTCTTTTACCTTTTATGATTTTTGAACATAAGAATTTACTTTACACAGTCCATAAATGGAAACATGTTGAAAGCATTTGGTGATGAGGAAATTTTAAGAATATATTTTAGTTTCGGCCGGGCGCGGTGGCTCACGCTTGTAATCCCAGCACTTTGGGAGGCCGAGGCAGGTGGGTCATGAGGTCAGGAGATCAAGACCATCCTCGCTAACATGGTGAAACCCTGTCTCTACTAAAAAAATACAAAAAATTAGCTGGGTGTGGTGGCGGGCGCCTATAGTCCCAGCTACTCAGGAGGCTGAGGCAGGAGAATCGCTTGAACCCGGGAGGCGGAGGTTGCAGTGAGCCAAGATAGTGCCACTGCACTCCAGCCTGGGTGACAGAGCGAGACTCCATCTCAAAAAAAAAAACAACAAAAAATATATATTTTAGTTTTATTTTAATTGCTCTTTATAAATCTAAAAATGAAAATGTTTTGCAATTATGGAATAAAGATATTGTATTCTTCTGGGTAAAACTATGAGCCATCAAAGTGTTTCTAAAGTATTGCATTCTAACAATGCTAGTGAAAGAAGAACCAAAAAGCAATGACAAGATAGGACACAGTAGAGATGCATTTTGAAGCTTGACTCATTATTTACAAGATGGGTATATTTCAGGATCATGCATGCCAATTATTGCGCAATTTGTGTATATATACCATTAAAGCCAGAGAAATAGATAATAAAAAGTCCGGTTTTTCTGTTTAAATTTTGTATTGAAAGTTCTAATAAAATTTGTTGTTCACTCTCCTTTTATTATTACATTAATACGTCATTAAAAAAAAGACTTAGAGTATAAAACAAAAAAAGTGTGGCCCAGATAGTAGATATGACTATTTTGTTTCCTGATACATTGAGGATTAATAAAGTTTAATATACTGATTAATCACATTTTAATTATAAATGTGATAAAAATTACAACAATTTATAATTACAAATTGACCAACATAACATAATTACAATATAGAAGGAGAAGAAAGGAAAGAAGGGGAAGAAGGAGAAGGAAAGAGAAAGAAGGGGAAAGAGGAAGAAAGGAGAAAGAATAAGAAAGAAAAGAAGCAAAAGAAGGAGGAGAAGAAGAAGGAGGAGAAGGAAGAGGAAGAAGAAGATGATGATGAATCTGCAGCAGCAGCAGAATCATCTGAGGACTGACACTACCCAACTTCAAGACACAGTATCAAACTACAGTACTCAAAACAGTAAGGTACTGGTGAAAAAGGAGATTCATATTGCTAAGTGAAAGATGCCAGTCCGAAGAGATTACATCCTGCAAAATTCCCATTATATGACATTCTAGAAAACACAAAACTATAGTCAATAATAGGATCACTGGTTACCAGGTCTTGTGGGAGAAGTAAAGTGAGATAAAGAGGTGGAGCACAGGAGATTTTTTGGGCTGTAGAATTAAATTGGATGATGTAACGAGAGAGAGAGAGAGAGAGATAACAGTAGATACATGACATTATACACATGTCAAAACCCATAGAACTACACAATGCAGAGTGAACCCTAATGTAAAGGATGTACTTTACTTAACAATAATCTATCAATATTAGTTCTTCAGTTGTGACAAAGATAACACAATAACGCAAGATATTAATAATAGGGGAAACTATAAGGGGAGTGAGGAGAGGGTGTATATGGGAACCCTCTGTACTTTCTGCTCAGCTAATCAGTAAACCCAAAACTGCTCTTAAAAATAAAGTATATTATTTAAAAAAACACCAGACTATTGGACCTGATGGTAAATAGCAATAACAATCTTTCCTAATATATCAAGAGCCAATCCAGTAAAGTCTAATACATTGATTTATTACAGTCATTTTCTAACTATACGTTTTTCTCATGGAAATTGTGTGTATGTCTGTGTGTGTGTGTATGTGTGTGTGTTTATAGTTTATTCAGAAAGTAGAAATACAAAAATTTCAAAATATTGGGCATTAAATATCTACTCATTTTTAATACAAAAATACCTGTAGCTATCTTTTAAAAATAGACATAAAGTAGAATAAGTTATTAAATTGAAAGTTAAAAATATTAGGTATTAACAAGATGTATATGATATTTTTACTTGTCACGGTCATTTATGTCTCATTTTTATCCAGTTTTTATTCTCTATTAGACTGACTTAAAAATAATTGAAAACATTCACTAACATCTGTACTATACATACATTCCATAATTTTGATGTTATGTTTTACTGCCTCTTTATGAAATTAAGGTGTGTTTTCAAAATAATTTTAAAACTTCCAAAAAGTTTTATAAATGCGTACTTGATGATAAGCTTAATTAGGAAATTTGAGAGTATGTTATATTAATTTTATATATACATTTATTATCTTTTAATTTGGAATTCCCATTCACAAATATATATATCCTCTTCAATGAGTTTTAATAACACACACACAAATTGTTACGTACTATTAATAATATAAAGATGGCACAATAACAACATTTTGAATCCTTGCCTGTAGATGGCTTAAAATACCTGATGATTCAATTACTTTTAATATTTAACATAAATATTCTTATATTTTATAAAAGAAAACAATATTTGTCTCATGAGCAAAATGTGCCATTAATATATACTGCTGGTAATATACATAAATGTAACTTCTCTGAAAAAAATTAAAAATTTTTTAGAATCTCAAATAGTGGTCACACTCTAGGCTATCTTTATTGACATAATGAAATGCATCTCTTACTAAACAGCATAGATCACCTTATGATTCTAGCATATATACCATTTCAGTAGCTTTTTGAAATATCTTAGGCTAAATTAAAATTCTTCTAAGGCATTCCCAGGCATAAATATGGCATTTTGTTTGTCAAAAGAACAGTTTAGTTCTAAAAAAATGTAACCCAAATATAATTTTCATTTCACCTTTCCTATTTCCTTTTATATTCTGTGCCCTTATGCTATATATAATTTGTGGTAGACAAGATAATTAGATAATTAGCATTTCATAAATGAGATGCCAGATGAGTGAGATATTTTATTTTGAATGCTCCTTGGAATATTCGTCTTCCTATCTGATAAGCTGATATATCCTGAAACACTTAATATATAATATGTAGAAAGGTAGTGAAAGCAAAGAGAATATAACTAACATAGGGCAATTTAAAATAAACTGACCTGGGCTAGAGAAACGTACGGGTTTGTGTAGTGTAGACTGCATAGATAAGAACTTTATTACTTTTTACAAGTGAAAAAGGACAACAGCCAAGAATACATGAAATAAAGAATCTCTGCCCACATCTGAGAATAAAAAGAAGATACGAACAACTGAATTACCAAACTTTAAACCCATCTATATTGAATATTGTCTTCTATAATCAGAATTTTATTTTAAATCAATTTCATTGTTTTGCAACTAAACAGAGAACTGATCAAGCATATTAGTTGGTCCAGAAAAGTAACAAAAAAGTACAGGGAAGAATTTAGTTTCTCTGGGCACAAAGTAATTATCTTTAAAACGGAGTAAGGCAAGGAAGGAATCTCTTCAGAAATAGTTTGATACATTTTAAAAATGTAAGTTGTTAAGAGAAAAATGGATTGACTTTATTAGTAATTCGCATGGTAACTAGAATAGAGATATAATCATCAAGAAGGTCAGGACTGTCAATTGACCATTTAACCCCTTAAAAAGATATAATTTTAGTAACAATTGGACCCAAACGTTTTTCTGTTATTTTAAATATATATGATATATTTCTTATTTTCATTCGTTATTAACCTAATTAATTTCATGTAAACACAATTTTAACACTTCAGCTTATTTTCCTCTCATCCTTCCTCCTTTCCTTCAGCCATTCATTCCTTCCTTTCCTTGATACTCAGAATTTTTTGGGTGTACATGCAGGGTCTCCTCTACAAGCTATTTTAACTATTTATTGCTTTAAACAGTAATAACTTTCATGTGTAAATAGCTACTCATTTTTATAGGCAAAGCCTAGTACTGTTAAAAGAAGTACTAAACAAACATTAATGATAAGCATAAGATTTCATGATGAGATGAATTATATAGAAAATATACTTTACACACATTTTTTAAAATTTGAACTCTCATTTTTCATATTTTCAGTTCTTAGTTACAGTATTAAAATGCTTTTTCAGGAAAAACACACAATAGTCTGACATATTTTAGTTTTCTGTCTCTTGCACTTTTCATTTTCATTAAGTTTATTTTTAATGTAATTTTTGTCAATGATACATACAGAAAATGAATATTCAGTCATTTTCTTCTTTTCTGTGTTTTGTGCACTGTGAGTGCAGATACATTATTTATACTGAGATTTAAATAATATCTGACTCATACAATATGTTCTTCTAAAAATTAACTCACAAATAAAAAGTTATTTTACAAAGAAATCTGTGCAAAAATGGGAGGACAAATTTGAGTTTTCATTGATTAATTTTTAAAAGTGGTTTTTCCCACTGCTCAGTTGTGAAGTTTCCTCTTCCCTGTTATGTAAAATCTGCAGGTATTTGTGATTCATTGTGAAAGTTCTGCTTTTGATTTTCTTAAATTTCAGTTTTAAAAGAACTCTCTTTCTGCCTGGCAGAGACACAACAAAAAAAGAGAATTTTAGACCAATATCCTTGATGAACACTGATGCAAAAATCCTCAATAAAATGCTGGCAAACCGAATCCAGCAACACATCAAAAAGCTTATCCACCATGATCAAGTGGGCTTCATCCCTGAGATGCAAGGCTGGTCCAACATACGAAAATCAATAAATGTAATCCAGCATATAAACAGAACCAAAGACAAAAACCACATGATTATCTCAATAGATGCTGAAAAGGCCTTTGACAAAATTCAACAACCTTTCATGTTAAAAACTCACAATAAATTAGGTGTTGATAGGACATATCTCAAAATAATAAGAGCTATCTATGACAAACCCACAGCCAATATCATACTGAATGGACAAAAACTGGAAGCATTCCCTTTGAAAACTGGCACAAGACAGGGATGCCTTCTCTCACCACCCCTATTCAACATAGTGTTGGAAGTTCTGGCCAGGCCAATCAGGAAGGAGAAGTGAATAAAGGGCATTCAATTAGGAAAAGAGGAAGTCAAATTGTCCCTGTTTGCAGATGACATGATTGTATATCTAGAAAACCCCATCGTCTAAGCCCAAGCTGATAAGAAACTTCAGCAAAGTCTCAGGACACAAAATCAATGTGCAAAAATCACAAGCATTCTTATACACCAATAACAGACAGAGAGCCAAACCATGAGTGAACTCCAATTCACAATTGCTTCAAAGAGAATAAAATACCTAGGAATCCAACTTACAAGGGATGTGAAGGACCTCTTCAAGGAGAACTACAAACCAGTGCTCAACTAAATAAAAGAGGACACAAACAAATGGAAGAACACTCCGTGCTCATAAACAGGAAGAATCAATATCGTGAAAATGGCCATACTGCCCAAGGTAATTTATAGATTCAATGCCATCCCCATCAAGCTACCAATGACTTTCTTCACAGAATTGGAAAAAGCTACTTTAAAGTTCATATGGAACCAAAAAATAACCTGCATTGCCAAATCAATCCTAAGCCAAAAGAACAAAGCTGGAGGCATCACGCTACCTGACTTCAAACTATACTACAAGGCTACAGTAACCAAAACAGCATGGTACTGGTACCAAAACAGAGATATAGGCCAATGGAACAGAACAGAGCCCTCAGAAATAATGCTGCATATCTACAACTATCTGATCTTTGACAAACCTGACAAAAAGAAGAAATGGGGAAGGGATTCCCTATTTAATAAATGGTGCCGGGAAAACTGGCTAGCCATATGTAGAAAGCTGAAACTGGATCCATTCCTTACACCTTATACAAAAATTAATTCAAGATGGATTAAAGACTTAAATGTTAGACCTAAAATCATAAAAACCCTAGAAGAAAACCTAGGCAATACCATTCAGGACACAGGCATGGGCAAGGACTTCATGACTAAAACACCAAAAGCAATGGCAACAAAAGACAAAATTGACAAATGGGATCTAATTAAACTAAAGAGCTTCTGCACAGCAAAAGAAACTACCATCAGAGTGAACAGGCAACCTACAGAATGGAAGAAAATTTTTGCAGCCTACTCATCTGACAAATGGCTAATATCCATAATCTATAATTAACTCAAACAAATTTACAATAAAAAAAAACCCCATCAAAAAGTGGGCGAAGGATATGAACAGACACTTCTCAAAAGAAGACATTTATGCAGCCAAAAAACACATGAAAAAATGCTCATCATCACTGGCCATCAGAGAAATGCAAATCAAAACCACAGTGAGATACCACCTCACACCAGTTAGAATGGCGATCATTAAAAAGTCAGGAAACAACAGGTGCTGGAGAGGATATGGAGAAATAGAAACACTTTTACACTGTTGGTGGGACTGTAAACTAGTTCAACCATTGTGGAAGTCAGTGTGGTGATTCCTCAGGGATCTAGAACTAGAAATACCATTTGACCCAGCCATCCCATTACTGGGTATATACCCAAAGGATTATAAATCATGCTGCTATAAAGACACATGCACACGTATGTTTATTGAGGCACTATTTACAATAGCAAAGACTTGGAACCAACCCAAATGTCCAACAATGATAGACTGGATTAAGAAAATGTGGCACATATACACCATGGAATACTATGCAGCCATAAAAAATGATGAGTTCATGTCCTTTGTAGGGACATGGATGAAGCTGGAAACCATCATTCTCAGCAAACTATCTCAAGGACAAAAAACCAAACACTGCATGTTCTCACTCATAGGTGGCAATTTAACAATGAGAACACATGGACACAGGAAGGGGAACATCACACACTGGGGCATGTTGTGGGGTGGGGGGAGGGGGAAGGGATAGTATTAGGAGATATACCTAACGCTAAATGACCAGTTAATGGGTGCAGCACACCAACATGGCACATGTATACATATGTAACTAACCTGCACGTTGTGCACATGTACCCTAAAACTTAAAGTATAATAATAAAAAAAGAGAACTCTCTTTCATCATAGTGGCAGTATTTAAATGTATGATTAATATTTTATTTTTAAAAACATTGCTCTGATATATTTTACAGGCTAGATTCATATAAATTGTATATCACAAGGTTACAGACTTAACACAGTTAAGCCCTAGAAATATAAGTCCTCCTACTATACTTTTTTCATTATGCCTCTTGGCATTGTATGTTTATCTTTAATTTCTTATTGCTCACCAAACTTAGGTTTCTACAATATCAGAGGATTTTTATTTTAGATGTAGTCATAGCTGTTTCCATTATTGTAGGAATATATATTTACTCTTTTGACTTACCACTGAAAACAATATCATCTCTGTGGATCTGAAATGCTAAATGTTCTTCCATTTGGGCCAGTCTTTTAGGTTATTCATCACAAGAATATTGTCAAACAATGGAGAAATACTAAAATTATGCTCCATAAATCCCAGATTAACCCATCTTCTTCGTTTCCAAGGCTGAGCTCTTCTTTCCTCCTTCTCATTCATGGAAAGTTCTATATAATCTAGATTGCACATGTGGATCTAAGTGCAGCCATGATCTACTGTCTCTGGGAACAACTATTGAGATGCTATTATCATTATTCTAAGATGTTTATGAAAATCACACCAATTTGCTCTAATATTGATGCTGACTGTTGCTCAATGTCTCCTTTCCATCCTCTACTCATTTAATCTCCGGAGAATGTTCTGCACGCTTAAAGAAACATTTAGCATTATCATCAGTTAGTTTTAATTAACTTCACATACTTGAATGATGGTATGCTAGATGCTAGGAAAATAATTTAAATAGATCTGGTTTCTGCCTTCTAGCCATTTACATATTAAACCATGATAGAATGAGATGCTATTTTTAATTGGCTAGCCATGAAAAGTGTAACATTTTTAATGTAAAACTTTCTTTAAAAATTAGATAATTCAATTGCCTTCCTCCATGAAGTTTTACTTATTCATGCATATTGAAATATGGTTAATGGCTAAAATGCTCAAGAATTGTATAATACTTCCATTTTTGATTTCCAAAGTAGTGAAAATGACCTTGGCAGCTGACATATAGGCTAAAATATTCTCAACAAACAATTTTCCAGAATGTGTAGAGTAATCAAATAAAGGTAGTCTGTGACTGTGGCGTGGAATAACACAAAGACAAGTTCATCTTATGACCAGGTGTGAAACAAGACAGAGATCAGGACCCTCAATGTCCACAAAATTAGCAAAATTAACTACTGTGTCTTTATAATAGCAAACCTACAATATTTTCATTTTTTAGCTAAAGTTACTCATACACCCATCACTGACATGCTCCTAATCCTGAGAACACACAATCCAGAAGCCTCTTTAGAATAGCCGGCACAAGCCCAAATCCTGTAACAAGTCTCTTCTCACTCTTTCTTACCTACATCCAGAGATTCATCTGCTATGTTTTCTCCTTTGCCAGAGCAACTTACATAAATGTGGTTTTGCTTGACTATTGGTAGATTTTGGGTGATCTGTGACTGGAAGTGGTCTTCAATAGTTCTTATGACTGATTTTTATTGTTTTATTTAATTATATGTTAGAATTACCGTTAACTAAGTAGTCAATTATTATTTTAAATTTAGTTTTACTTTGCTTTGTATGTAAATATTAAAGAGTTTAAATTAAAATGCTGTTGATCCTGGTCCTTTAAAAATATTGTTACACAATTTTTTATATTTTGAGAGACCCACTGATGTAAGAAAAAGAAACAGAAAAAGGAAGACAATTGACATTTATTCAGTCTATTAAATGCCATGAACTTGACTTAAGTTCAAGGAATTAATTCTCTAGCCTATCATCACATCCTCACAGGAATGACTCCTCTACTTTATAATCAAAGCTCAACGAGTTTCAGTAATTTTCCCAAAGCCAAAATACAAATAAATGTCAAAATTGAGAGATAATCTCCATTTGGGCTCTGAAGTATGCTTCTTTCTGAATTTGCTTCAAGGAGAATAGCAGTAAATTACTAAAATTAACCTAACATAATTGTAATCATTTAAACATTATAATGTTTTCAATAACTACTAAACTAAGAATAATTTAAAAATAAGCATATTATAGTCAGCTTTATATTTTCCATATAAAAAGTAATCAAAAAATTCTAGTTCACCTGGCAATTCTCCAATCTTTTCTCACAACACTCTGTATTTTTCTCCTAGTCTACTCTACTCCAGTCTCACTGGCACCCTTGCTATTCCTAGAAATAAAAACAACAAACAAGCTACCTCAGGGTCTTTGTACTTGCCCTTCCCTCTGCATTACACCAACACACATACTCACTTTCCTTAATCTCCATTTCAGTCTCCTTACTGCCCTCCTATGCTTTATTTTCCTTGCAGCCATGTACTTATCAACAGGTACTTAGTACTTATCAATATGTAACATGTGATATGTTCCATTTATTTATTTTTTTCATCCCTACCTAGAATGGATGCTGTAAGAGAAATGAAGTTTGTTGGTGATAGCGGAGGTGATTATTTTGACACTTGGAGACAAACTCAATTTGTTTTGTGTTTTTGTTTGGTCATTGCTGTAACCCCAGTGCCCAAAACAATGCCTATTACATAGTGCCACTAAAAAATTATTGTTGAATAAATAAATGAAAACAAAATGCAATGAAACATATTGGAACAGTACTTAGAGTTTAGTATTTTAGGATTTAATGTAATTGCATATCACACACAATTTCTAAGCTCAAGCTATAATTTTATCACAAATAGAGAAAACAAAATCTTCATTATCTAGAAAATCAAATATTGCAATTCAGAACATATTATCTCCTATCCTCTATTCTTTTATATTTTATTTCACATGTTTCAATTCATTCATTTTCATTTTGATTAGTATATATAATTGTCTACTAAAACCTTGCTAGGTACTAAAACTGCCATAATTACAAGTCTGTCATTTGCTAGTTGTGTGACTCAGCCTCCATAATCTTCAGAATCCTTGTGTGTATCTTGTGACTAATGAGAGTAACTACTCATCAGGCTACTATTCGTAAATGAGTACTCAATGACATAATTCCAGCAAAACATTTAGCACTGCCCCGATCTATTAGATTCACAAAATTAATTTTGTTCTTATTGATTGTGAATAATGATGATGATGAAAACATAATAAATAAGCTCCTATATTTATACATTAGTATATGCCATAGAGAAGGTAAAACTAGTCTAATCTTAAAAGCATAGCTGAGAAGCCACAATTGCATAAAATAAAGTTATTTTAATATAACACTGTTCATCAAGGCCCTCTCAGATTACCGATTCTCAGTGATTTTGCTCAAATTACTACTTTTTCTCCCCCACCCTTACGTGCACGCCTACGTTAAGCCACAATTTGAAACATAGGAGTATTAACCTCGTACATCTCCTTCATTTTTCCTCATTGTTAAGAATGAAACTCAGACAAGGAGTGTTTTCCTTTGAACCTGATTAATACTAGTGAATGTAGTTTTACTTCATTTTGCCGTGGATTTTACTGCACCTTTGCTATAACTTCAGGTAGTTTTGAAATGATTTTAGATGCAGATGAAGAGATTTGCTGCTGAGATAAAGGAGGGGGAAGTAGTGTTTACTTACAGTGTATTTCTAGCACCTGCATGGCTACCTGAGGGGTGGCATTGAGGGATTCGTGATCTACTCTGCAGATGACCGCCACTCCATCATCACTCCGGTCCACTCGGAAGTCCAGTGTGCTGCTGACAGTGAATGTCTTGCGATTTGCATCCTCTTCTTTTAAATATTTTACATCTGAAAATAAAATATGAATTTTAAAATGTGACACCTTTCAAAATAAAACAGATTGCATTTACTCAAGATAATGGAAACAGCTTCTCCCTATTTTTATCAATTTTTAAGAAGCAAATATTTGTGATTTTAACATTTAATCTATTTCAATTCAATTAAATAAAATTACAATTACTTAAAAAATAAATTCTTCACGAGGTCAGGAGATCGAGACCATCCTGGCTAACACGGTGAAACCCCGTCTCTACTAAAAGTACAAAAAAAATTAGCCGGATGTGGTGACGGGCACCTGTAGTCCCAGCTACTCGGGAGGCTGAGGCAGGAGAATGGCGTGAACCCAGGAGGCAGAGCTTGCAGAGTGAGCAGAGATGGCGCCACTGCACTCCAGCCTGAGTGACAGAGCAAGACTCTGTCTAAAAAAAAAAATTAATAAATAAATAAATAATAAAAAAAATTAAAAAATTCTAAGAGCTAGATCCAGAAATATTATAAAAGGGTGGGGGCGCAGCAATTTTATTTCTTTGGTCTCAGGCTTACCTAGCTTATAATCAGGCACAAGATATTCTTATATACTCCATTAAAACAATGCATATCATCTTACAAAAGTAGTCTGTCTTTTCTCTTAGCTATAAGTTTTACTAAAACATAATCTTAATTTTCTGAGCCACAAGCACAGTTAGGAAGGGCAAATTTACAACTATATGGCTATGCCTAAAAGAAAGCACAATGCATTTGAAATACAACTTTAACATGAACAATGTGAGGTGAACATAAATTGCTAAAGGATACTTAGGATGAGAAAGTTGTCATCTTTGGAAAGAAAAGGAGCACAGCCATCTGAATATTTTGAATACTTAAGTATATATTTGCAGTGAAATTTACATTGAGATGAATGCTCTTCACTTGGCTGAGGAATTTATTTCAGCATGAACAAGAGTACTTTCTACAAGATGTGAATTCATTTATCGATATTTAAACTTGCTGTGCATGATTTAGATCCATCGTTAAATGGTGCACTAAGGGACTATTTGTTCTTTGTGGAAAAGAGGTTTAGCAATATTTTTGCTTAATTTGTAATTTCTCAAGTCTGAAGTAGCTGATAAGAAGAGGGCAATTTTAAAGGTTTAGAAATCAAACTAATAAGATAAGGTTAAGTTATCATTATAACAAGATCTTAAATGTAGTTGATGGAAAAGTGTATTCAGTTTTCTTGCTTTCTGTCATTTTTTTACATCATTCAGTATCAAATAAACATTGATATTGTCAGTAAATAAGACCTTTCACATAAAATACATAATTTGATTTTAACTTATATTAAGTAATTTATTTTAAAAACATTTTAAAATGTATTAATAACAAAAATGAATACATTCAGTTTTTCTATCTTTGTGCCTTACGCAAAGATTGGGCTTTTAAAATAGTATTGGATTTGATGTAACATTTGATTAATAGACATATGCATGTTCACTAACTTTCACTTATTTCAGAAGTATGACTTTATCATATTGATTGATTTTAAAGATAGAAATAAAATAAACATTAGTAAGAGATTAAATGATAGATGTGATATGTCTTGTTCTTGAAAATATGTTTATAGTTTCACATATTAGGGGAAAATGACCTAATTAAGATTTTTACCACAAAATGTTTTATGTATGTTAGGCAATTCTGAAGAGTAAGAAAATCTCTAACATTTAGAAAGAAGAACAGAACCATGAAGTCTCAATTCCATCTTTTAACTGAAAGTAAATAACACAGGATACAAAATTATACGCAGAATTGTTTATAAACGTGTCCTATGAAATATCTCATCTCATTTTTACTAAAGTCATTTACTAAGATTTTTGCACTTGAAAATTAGGTACAATTCCATTTAAAAATATTAAAGACTCTATGACCTTTCAGAAAAAATATGTCACAATAATTCAGATGCATTTATGATTCTTTGCTTATATTTAAAATATTATAAGGTTCTTTCACTTTTCAGTCTCATAGATTTATACAAATATGTTGCTTCATTTTTACATTTATTTTCTTTTTTTATAACTCTATGCCCAACGTTTACTTGTTCCTAGCTCTAAGCAGTGTCAGAGTAAGAAAATATTGATCTCTTGACAAACAATTTTTATAATTGTGCTACACAACATATGAGAAATTACTCCAAAGTATTACTGC
Source organism: Homo sapiens (assembly GCF_000001405.40). NCBI lineage: Eukaryota > Metazoa > Chordata > Mammalia > Primates > Hominidae > Homo > Homo sapiens. The sequence goes on along the minus strand of NC_000003.12, from coordinate 85,910,200 downwards.
TGGTTGTTTACTTTTTATAACAGCTGCACTTTAAGAACTCACACATCTGCTTCTTTTAGCTGTTTCCCTTACAAAAGTAGCATTTAATGTAATATTAATTGGACACATAACATTTGATAGCAATTGTATAAATCATAAAATTTTAATGAACTAATTCAAGTAAAATAAACAAAAGTGTAATTTGTTGATTTTAATATCGGCTTATGTGATAGATTATAGGGTTACCAGAAGCCTTAAGATGAACAGAAAAAACATTGAGAAGAGCCAATCATAATATCTTTTCTCATATTTTAGGCTGACCTTCTTCCCCAAAGAAATGAATAGAGAAGACACTTAAAATGTATCTCTGCTTTCCCTTTCTGTATTTTTAAAATAACGATGCATTACACAGTTATAGAGCCAACAGAAATTTTCTTTACATTGTATAGTTTATTTGCTGATACCACGTGTATCCTTCTTTCATGTTCTGTCCACTTTCCTTTCCTTTGCATGTCAGTTATATTACATGGTGATCAAGAATAGCCTTCTCAAAATGCAATGCACATATGATCTTGTTAAAATGCAGATTCGCATTCAGTAGGTTAGAGTGTGGAGTCTGAGAGTCTGCTGCTAGCCCACAGACCATATTTTGAGGAGCAAGAGTACAGTGCAAACATTTGACACTGGAGACATAACTAAAGATGGAGTGGGAATAGTGGGACTTACTCTTCCCATCTTTTTCTCTTTTTCTCTCTCTTGTTATTTTTTAATTGTTTCTTTTCAAAAACTTCCATTGGACATTATATATATATATATATATTTCATTTTACATTTTTCAAAATATGCACGTCCTATATATTACATAATGTGTTAATGAAATGACTAGAAAACCTTGAGAACAAACAAGAAACAAAGGAAATTTCAGAATTTCTTTCTTTCATAATCCACATAACCACTCCTCCTACTCTCTCTAGTAGACCTTCTGGACATTTAAATAGTCAAAACGTGGTCACTTTTGGTGGTGAGTCATGTGGGAAACTGACTGGGAGAGAATATATTCGGGTTTTCTGGAGTTAAGGAAATGCTCTACATCAAAAGCGGTGTGAGGTCATCTGCTTTGCAATTTGTGTAAAAATTTTACAGTTAAGATTAGCTTATTTCAATGTATGTAAATTTTCCCTCAAAAATCACAACTGTAGGCCGGGCGTGGTGGCTCACGCCTGTAATCCCAGCACTTTGGGAGGCCGAGGTGGGAGGATCACGAGGTCAGGATATCGAGACCATCCTGGCTAACATGCTGAAACCCCATCTCTACTAAAAATACAAAAAATTAGCTGGGCCTGGTGGCGGGTGCCTGTAGTCCCAGCTACTCAGGAGGCTGAGGCAGAAGAATCGCTTGAACCCGGGAAGTGGAGGTTGCAGTGAGCAGAGACCACGCCCCTGCACTCCAGCCTGGGTGACAGAGTGAGATTCCATCTCAAAAAAAAAAAAAATCATAACCGTAAGTTATTATAATAATTACAATTGAGTGGAGAGTAATTAGAGGGATAGATGAAACAAAGATGGCTGAATGTCGATACATTTAAAATTGGGTGATGGCATGCAGTTTCTCATTCTATTATTGTGCTTACTTTGCATATGTCAGAAATTTTCTATAATAAAATTTTTAAATATACCTAAAGAAAAATTCCTCAAGTATAATTCTAAACAAAAATTAGCTGCCTAAATATTTCTTGGTAAAGTCTCAAGATAAAGGACTTTCTATTAGTTTTTATATTATTTATCTTTATAAAATCTGGATTGTAGAATAGCAATCTCCTTATATTCAGGAGATTAGATCTTTTGTCTTAGCAAGAACTAAGGTGAAAAAAGAAATAGCAAATTTAAGTTCGAGCACTGGAGCACCCAAAATAAGTAAGTTTAAATGCTTCAAGTTAGGTTAACTGGAAAAAAAAAAAAAAAAAAAAGAAGAAAAAAAAAAGCCAAGATATCTTGATTTTCTTGCATCCAATTTTTTTTCACAAAATATCATATTTCCGGAGATACTTTCATATCCATCTTTCCTAGGTTTATAATATTAACTCATCAGGCTCTATATCTAGTTTCTGGCCACTTTTAGAATGAAGTTTTGGAAAAAGAAAATCCTCTTAAGTGAAGTTCCTAGAGAAGTTGCCTTGTCTCCACAGTGGTGCTTATATGCCTTGAGCAGTATAATCTCAACTATTTTGGTTTATTTGCTTTCTCCACTTTTGCGGTTTTGGTGCTATTTAGACAGACTGGAAAAGAAGATATCTTCTTTTTTTTTTTTTTTGAGACAGAGTCTCATTCTGTCACCCAGGCTGGAGTACAGTGGCGCAATCTTGGCTCACTGCAACCTCTGCATCTCAGGTTCAAGTGATTCTCCTGCCTCAGCCTCCTGAGTAGCTGGGATTACAGGTGTATGCCAAAACACTCAGCTAATTTTTGCATTTTTTGTAGAGACGGAGTTTCGCCACTTTGGTCAGGCTGGTCTCGAACTCCTGACCTCAGGTGATCTGCCTGCCACGGCCTCCCAAAGTGCTAGGATTATAGGTGTGAGCCACCGTGTCCAGCCAATACCTTCACTTTTATAATGAAATACTTTCCCTGGATCCTGAAATAGACCTCTTTATCAGCCATCTGCCTAGAGTAGGCCAGTTCTTTTTAATCCATTCCAAGTTCAATAGACCACACTGGGAACAAGGCAGGATTTAGAAACTGAAACTTCCATATTTTCTCATCACTTGAAGGTATCTCTTAGGAATCATGTAGGCTATTAAGTGACATTTCCTATATGGGCCTTGAATTCTCTGACCATGAGCAAAACAGCATGGTCTTAGTGTGTCCCAAACAGTGATGCTTATATGGAACTTGAACTTTACTAGTATTTTCAGAGGTAAGGTTTGTAAAAGTGGTTTTTGATGGATAACATGATAGTTTCAGGGGGAGAAATCAAGGAATTTAGTCTGAATCCACATAATTGTTGTCAGTGGTCCTTTAATGATTTTGTGCCATAACCAGTGAGCTAGATTCATGACCTCATCTCATAGAGAACAGAAAATATACGCATTACATGAGAGTTGGCTTTATTGTCAAAAATTAGGAGTGAACGAACTCAGTGGAGAACTGGACATGTTGTAATTACTGCTTCACAGTTCTGTAAATCAAAATTCCTAAAACTAAATACACCATTTTTAGAACACAGCCAACTTCCCCATTATTTCTTTCTTAACTGACCTAAAGTAACTATGTCTGGCTAATTCATTCAGTAACTTGGATGCATACTTTAAAGGCAATTTGTCTTAGAGGAAATGTCAATACTTTTTTGTGTGTGTCTTAAGGTTAAATGCTCAAAGATATTTTACAAAACACTTTTCTTTAATGTTCAAGCAAAGCTTTTCATTTTGTATTTGTTTTAAACTGTCTCTAGACCAAACATAGTGGCTATATTTTACATTGTATAACTTTAAAGTCTGGTAACCACATTCATTTGTGCACTGAAAAAGAATTCAAACAAATTCTTGAGGCAAATCTCATTCTTGCCTATGAGCACCCTTTCATACAATTCCTGTCTGAAATAGGGTAGATTTTTAAAAGTCCTTATAATATTCAACTTTTTGAAGGAAGTACCAGTCATAATCCTGTTTCTTAACTGACTCTACAGGTATGACCCCACCATTCATTGGTAACATGGATAACTATCCCACTTAGCAAGGAATAGTACTGAAATTCAGCTCTTCTTAATAGATCTGAAAAGGTCAGATGAGAAAAATAATGTTTATGGAAGATTATTAAGAGGAGATACTTCATTTATCTAAATATTAAAGTCTCTTTTTCAGTTTACCCAGACAAGTAAAATGTCAATGCTTTTCATAAAATGTATCTTAAATGTTATTTCGCAGATCTACATTGAGAGGTGCTACAAGAACCAGGTACATATATTACCTGACTCGAAGCCTCAGGGTGGGCTCTATATTTGTCTACATTAGAATGTCCTTTCTCCTCAAATATATTTAAAATGATGTTTTATTGCATGCCCAAAATATAATAACATATGGCAGAAAATTATTTTAAGTCTATTCAGTAGAATAAACTTTAAGGAAATAAAAATATCTACGCATTTGAGCAACTTCTGTAGCAGCAGGCAAGTGTGACTTCTTTGAAACATTTATGATGATGCAATTTTCTGGTAATCAAACTATTTGTTTCATGGAGTCCTGCAGCACTCAGCACATGTCAGAAAAAGCAACCTGCTCCTCATCTACCTATAGTGAAAATGAATAAATGAATCACTTGCATCAGTAAAACATTGTGATGAAATGATAAGTTTCTGAATATATTACAATATTTCTATGTACCATGTACTACCAGAGTTTTTACAATAATTTTTCAACAGGTTACCTTGTATTCTGAGAATCACATCATTTAAAAATTAAAATTACCCATTGGGACATTCACAAGGTTCAATATAAATTATGTATTCATAAAATAAAGATTAGATTAAATTTTTAACTTTGTTATTTCCTTTTTTACTAATTATTTTTCTTTTTCTGTTCATTCTTTCTCTCCCTTCTGCTCTCTTTTCTTTCTTTCGTCTGCAGAAATTCCTAATTTTTATATTTCTCTATAGGTTTTAGACGCTGGGTACAGCATCTAGGACAGTATCTGAAACATCATAGATGCTTAACAAGTATGTTTTTAATTAATTAAAATAAAGGTTGCAATCAGCCAGGTAAAGCTTCTTTTCCTTCTAGTAAGTAGATTCGTTCCATGTCAATATATATAATTCGGGGACAGTTGTCAGTCTTTAATTGATTTTCTTTGTAGTTTATCTCTTTTTAAATCCTCCCATCAGTTTCTGTATTGGAAGAATACAAAATCTAGAGGGATATGACAAAATATTTGGAATTAGACAGACTAACTTTTTTCTTTTACGCAGATCTATATTTACCCTTTGTTTTTCAATTCTATCTTTGCTATTTTCCACAGCCATTGTAATTCTCACTGCAGATCAACTAGATTAGAGTCCCATTTATCAGAACTTCCTAGAGTTGGGAGTTCAGGCATTCACCATAGACAAAAGGGGGAAGAAAGGAGATTGGCAATATCACTAAAGAGAAAAAAACTAAATGAAAAATTACCAAGTTAAAAATATACCTAGCTGTTAAATCTTTTCAATTCATAAACATTTTTCCATATAAATTTTACAAAAAAAGGGGGAATAACATTACTAAACATTATCTATACTTACAAGGAAAAAGAAAATTATAAAATAGTTTCATCTCCTATAGAGGCAAAAAATAAAGACATTTTTTGAATATAAAATAGAAAAGTGCAGATTTTATCTATGAAAAATTAGCAGGAAGTGAGAGACAAAAGGATACATAAACATAAAGCAAGGAATATATTTTTAAGAAGATAAATTAGAATAATTTACGAGTCAATATCGTGAAAACGTATGAGTATGAAAAAGAAATTGGGGGCAACTCCTGAACATCATGCTAAATAAGTAGCTCTGCAGACTTTCTCTCCAGCTAAACAACCATAACTAGTGAAAACTATTCTAAAACACACATACATATTTAAGGTCTCTGAAAATTGTGCCAAGGGTCTATAGCAAATGAACAAATAATTATTTTAAAAAACTAGCAAATCTTAGTAAGAACAGATAGAGTCTATGGTATTTGAACCATGACTTTCTCCCTAATTCAACCTCATCCCCAACTCAGCATTAGGAAAACTGGATAGATGTACCCAAGGTGGAGATCCATGTTTCCTCAACGAAGGACTACGGTCCTTTCCAGAAGAGGCAGGCTGCCAGCATTTCTTATTTCAGTCATTATTACTCTTGGTTGCAAAGTCAAAATTCCAGGTGGTGTGGCTGAAAGGTTGGGACTCTCTTCTTTCACCCAGTCCCTGCTCATATGCCAAGAATAAAGGGACCCCAATAGCTCTCACTTTAGCTCACTTATAGAGGGGAGATTTCAATCCAGAAGAGACAAAGCAAGAAGACCGGAAGCTACCACCATTTTGCCCAGGGAAGAAGCCAGCTATAACAGGGAAGTGTTTTTCTGAAGCTCTCTAAGGGAACGAACTATTTGGAACAGAGTTGGGGGAAGTTCAAAGTGGAGACTTTGGAAGAAAGCAAGTAAGAAAGCCCTTGTGTTTAGATGAGATAAGCACGCTAAACCATAGTTTATAAAAGAAAACCAGAGAAAAAGACAACTAGCAACGGCCTTCCTGTCGTCACAGGTTAAAGAAAATCTCAAAGACTGGCCTCAAGAAAAAACAAAACAAAACAATAAAGCCCAGCAAAGGATTCTAGATGTAAATGGATCAAGCTATAGAACAACTTATGCACATAGCATTATTGAAAACAGTAGGGCAACCAGCTGACAAATAGTGAAGGGGAATCACTGGGTGTGATACTAACGTAAGCAGAGAGCTTAACAGAGACAACAGGAAAGAAAGACATTCAGTGAGAGCCCTGCTGAAGCCATTATCATTCCCACGGTGGCTGTGCACGTGCCAAAGCCTGCGTTTCCTGAGGAATGACATCACACTGCAATAGAAATACCTCATCCAAATCAATAAACAATAAGCCAACAACAACGGGTACTTTTACAAAGGAACTCCCTTGACAATTGACTTTTCATCAAAACCAATGAAGGTCAGAAGGTAGTTGGGTAGCATATCCCAAGTGCTAAAAGAAGGAAAAAATGTCAGATAAGAACCTGATATCCAGTAAAATTATTTTTCAAAAATGAAGGTGAAATAAAATATTTTTCAGGTAAACAAAATCTAAGAGAGGTTATTAAAGCAGTCCTGCCTTACAAGAAATGTTAAGGAAAGTTGGGCTAAAACAAGTGATCTCAGATAGAAAAGGAAAAAAAAAAGCACCAGTAAAGGTAATTGTATAATTAAAAAGAGGTTAAAATGGCATGTTTCTTCTTTTTTCTTCTCTTAAGTGATTAAAAAATAATAATCAGAACAAAGATTATTCAGGGAAACAAAATTAATGATGTAAAACAATTATTTATCATTGTATTACAGGGTCTATAACAAGAAAATGCAATATATTTGACAATAACAGCACAAAGGAAGTGGATAAAAAGTAAGTTTTTCGTAGAATAAGGAAATGATTCTAGGTGGTAACTTGAATTTGCAGGAAGAAATTAGGAGAATTAAAAACATATAATATGTTTTATGTAACAAATTTTAGGTACTTGGTATCCTTGCTTTTCTCAGCTTTATTAAAGACATAACACTATATGAAGTAATAATTGTAATCATGTATTGTTGTGTTTTTAACATCTTAAAATGTAATATGTTTAACAACAATACTACAAAAATGGGAGAAAGAGCAAACAGCTATATTGTAGTAGCATTTCTATATCTTCTAAATTAGGCTATTATGAATCTGATTTAGATTCTGATAAGTTAATATATATGATATGCCTGAGAGCATCTACTAACAATATAATTTAAAAATAAAGTGAAAAATTTTTACAGGAATTTAAATGTTAAACTAGAAAATATTTACTTCATATAGCATAAAGTGGTAAAGAATGAACATAAAACAAAAATGACATGAAACATAGAAGATAAATGTAAAATCATGGATGAAAATAAACCTATATCAATTATTGTAATATCATACATGGAAATTAACCAATATCAATTATAAGATTACAGGTGAGTTGATTAAAAATTCAATCAAAAAGCCGAGATTATAAAACTGTATTTTTTTAAATGATAAAAATATATGCTTTCTACAGGAGACACACTTTAGATTTAAAGATACAAATGGACTGAAAATAAAAGGATGAAAAATAATATATGATACAAACAGCAAGCAATAGAAAGCTAGAGTGACTATACTAATATCAAAGCAGATTTTAAAATAAAATATATTAAAATAATGGAGAACATTTCAAAATGATAGAAAAGACCATCCATTAGAAAGATATAACAATTATAAGTATGTATACATCTATGTAAAGAGAGCACTTAAGGTACGTGAAGCAGAAACCATTTAGTCCAGCAATACTGTTCTCAGGAATATACTCAAGAGAATTGAAAGCATATTTCTACACAAAACCTGGCACCTAAATTTTTATAGCAGAGTTTTAAAATAAAAGCCCCAAAGCATAAAAACCCAAATGCATATCAACTAATGAATGACTAAATAACATATGGAATATGCATACAATGATATATTATTTGGCAATTATAAAGAATAAAGTACTGATATATGCTACAACACAGATGATATTAGCTTATGCTAAGCTAATCACAAAAAACACATAATATATATTTTTGTAGATGAAATGTCCACAGTAGGCAAATTTATACAGACAGAAAGTAGATTTGTGGTTGCTTAGAGTTAGGGTGGAGACAGTTGGGGGAAAGTCGGGAGTTATCACTAACAGGCTTCTTGTAGAATCATAAAAATTTGAAATTGATTGTGGTGAGAGTTTCATAGTTCTGTGAATTTACTAAAAACTATTAAATTGTATACATGAATTTGATGATGTGAATTATATCTAAATAATGTTTCTATGTGAAAATAAATAAAAATAGCTAACCCCAGGTTTGGCTTCAATTTGGGAGGTATACAAATAACACTTTAAATTTAGAGTTACTGATTGAAGAGAAAAATGTGACGGAAAGGTAAGATTGGTTATTCTCTTGGAAGATTACCTTGGAAGACTTTTTATATAATGACTACTTTCAGCAAACAGAGTATTTTATTTCCAAACTAGTAAATAAAATAGCAGACAATGAATGCACTTGAACTTCATGATCCAACTGTAATCTATACTATAACATAATGTAGGTAAAATAATCTATCTCAATCAACTTCCCATTACCAACACAAATGGAAGGTAATTTACCAACTCATTTAGATACTGCTACACTAAGACATCAATTTGATCATATTGTGAAAAATTGTTTGGATCTAATGTCTTTTTATGTTTGTTTGTTTTTGCTTTGTTTTCTTTTTTTGAGATGGAGTTTTGCCCTTGTCACCCAGGCTGCAGTGCAATGGCACCATCTTGGTGCACTGCAACCTCTGCCTCCCAAGTTTAAGCAATTCTGCTTTAGCCTCCCCAGTAGCTGGGATTACAGGTGTGCACCACCACGCCCAGCTAATTTTTGTATTTTTCATAGACACAGGGTAATCAATTAATTAGCGAGTTAATTTTAGTAAAATATGATTCATAAATTTTGTAAAATATCTTATGCATTCAAAGAAGGTCATTAGCCAAAGGTAATGGGAAAAGCTACCTTCTCCTATGTGCCACAAGGATCATGAAGTGAATTTCCATGAAAAATTCAAAGTTAAAGAATGAAAAAGGTATTTTCCTCACATATGAAGAAGCCATAAAATATTTTTTGGAAATAACCTGAAGAAAATTTGAGCAGTAATTAAGTCCCTCCATCACCGGATGAGAGCTATGGAACTAGCAAATTTGAATATTTTTGTTATTATAATGTCAGGATTACTCATGGGCTTATGAGTGCTAGAAGATTAAGGTATGCACTTGCTTTAACCCTTAAATTAAATACGTTGATTAACAACATTAATTAATCACAAGTTTAAAAAGAAGCAATTTCTTTGGTCAATTCCTTGACACTAAGTAAAAGCCAGTAAAAATTTAAAAAAAATGTTTTTATGTATCTCATGATATACATACCGAAATTTTCTTTTCCATTCCAACAATGTATAAGAATTCATAACAAGACTAAATTCCTGTAACTAAGCAAAATAATGTCTAACCTCAAAACTCGCATGATTTTTAATTTAAAATAGCCTGTCAAAATAGGTATGGATGTGTTTCCCTCTCATTCATTTTCATCTTTTAAATTTCTCATAAACCTTAAACAAGCAAAAAGGTTGAGACACACTACCATTGAAATAAAAGTATATTTCTCTACAATTCAAAACAAAATGACAAAGACTACTCCTTCTAGTCTAGATGAAGTAACAGAGACAAATTGTTGTTTTCACCTGAAAACAATAATTTTTAAAACAATTGAACATCATAATGAAAAATGATCTCTTAGAGATGGAAAATAAGTGAGATGAACCCTAAAATAGTCCCTGCTTAATATCTTGAGAGATTTTACACGATGCGTTGCATGGAGGAGAACCCATGCAAAAGAATTTGGTGGCCTCTTTGAGTTAAGGTGATGAAGCTGGGAGCCTGGAAGGCAAAATCAGTTTGCAGAGCAGAGTACCGAGAAGAAGAGAGATGGACAAAGAGTGGACTCCAGACATCCATAGTGCTCCCCCCAGTATTCGCTTAAGAACTAATCAGTGCATCTGTGTAAGGAAACTGAGGCTGGGACAAGATCTATTTGAAAGGATTAGAGGAAATTGCATATGATGTTCAAACAGGACCGTAAATGGTGCCTATTACCATCAGCCAGAACCAAAATCCTTACAATTGAGGGCACTGGATACACAGAAAAATTTTACATCAATAAACAGGAAAAACATAATTCCTAGTCAAATACTGTTCTGGTCTCACTTAATAAATTTTTAAAAACCTCTGAAAGGACTAACCTCTAAATAACTTGACTAGAATAAAGCTTAAGAATATTTATAGCAATATGAAAATATACAACAATAAAAAGATAAATATACAGCATCTGGAACCTAATAAAAAAACCATAATTCATTCAAAGAAGCACGAAAATGCTGTCTACAATGAGGAAATAAATCAATCAATGGAAACTGACCCGAAAATAATTCACCTGGTAGTAATAACAAAGGCATTAAAAATACAAAAATTAACTCAAAATAGATTCAAAACCTAAGCCTAAATGGCAAAATGTATATGTATAATTTTTGTGATCTTGCGTTAGATAAAAATTTCTCACATACAAAACTAAAGCATGATTCATAAAACTAAAATATAATAGTAATATTGCTGAGTGCGGTGGCTCACACCTGTAATCCCAGCACTCTGGGAGGCCAAGGTGGGTGGATCACCTGAGGTCAGGAGTTCAAGACCAGCCTGGTCAAAATGACGAAACCCTGTCTCTACTAATATTACAAAAATTAGCCAGACATGTTGGTGCACGCCTGTAATCCCAGCTACTCAGGAGGCTGAGACAGGAGAATTGCTCCAACCCAGGAGGCAGAGGTTGCAGTGAGCCAAGATTGCACCGCTGCACTCCAACCTGGGAGACAGAGTGAGACTCCGTCTCAAAAAAAAAAAAAAAAAAAAAAAAAAAATATATATATATATATATACACAATAAATGAATTGGATTTTATGAAGTAGTACAAACATTTTGGAAAATGGCAAGGCCTTTAAAAAATTAAATATATGGCTACCATATAATCCAGCTAGTCTGCATCTAGGCATTTGCCTAAGAAAAATGAAGACAAATGGCCATACAAAATTGTACCCACAAATGTTCATAGTAGCTTTACTATAATATCTGCAAACTATAAACAACCTGAATGTCCATCACTGGGTAAACAGGTAACTAATTGTGGCGTATGTATCCATACAATAGAATATTATTCAGCAAGAAAACAGAGAAGAAACTATGTACATGCAACAACATGAATGAGTCTCAAATACTTATGTTGAGACTCAAAAAAAAAAAAAGAAAGATATGTACAGACCCTATGATTCTTTTTATGTAAAATTGCAGAAAATGCAAACTAATCTATTGTACCATAAAGCAGAACAATGGTTTCCTGGGACTGAGGTAGAGAGTGGGCAGAGAAGGCAAAGGGAAGGTGTTGGAAAGGATATAAATAAACTTTTGGGGATAATAAATACATTTTTTATCTTGCTTGTGGTGATGGTTTCACTACTACAGACATTTGTCAAAACTTAATAAATTGCAAAATTTAAATATCTATATATTGATTTTTGTCAATTATATCTTAATAAATTTATTTTTAAAATAAATATGAAAAAGTAAAGACTCTCAATGATTTCTGGTGATTATTCTTTCAACTCAACCACTCATATACACCTGGAACAATCATTATATCTCCTTCTATAGAGTGACTTATGTATCTCCTAGTATTGCCTGAGTCTTGAGGTACTGCGTTTAACACCATTAAGAAAACTTCAAGTTATGTGCACGCACACACAGATATACATACCCACATTTAAATGCTATTAATTTTTTTTTCTCACTTAATATAGTGCCCAGCATGTTCTGGATGAAATGGCAAGGCCACTTTCAAAGCAGTAAGTATAAATAAAGGAACATAAAAATAACAGATCTATGGCATATACTATAAGTTTAAATAATGATATTTTAAATTCATTCTTATACATGATGCAGGGACTTTAAACTCAGGGGACACAAATCTCTTCCTCTTCTTTTATGTTTAATTTCAAAGAATTTGCAATGTCTGGTTTACATGTTAATATTTTACTCATTCAAATTAAAGTTTTATACAACTGATGTTAAATGAGTCCTTAGGACAAAACCAGTTTTGCAACACCAAATAAAATAAATAAAAATATAATCTACCATTTATCAAGTAGTTTCCACAAAGCTTAATCCAAAAAAAAGTAAAACAAGCAAGCAAGAAATAAAGAAATAAAAAAATCGAGTTATATGGCCAGAGACTATTACTAAGATGTAGGTTAGGCCGGGCGCGGTGGCTCACGCCTGTAATCCCAGCACTTTGGGAGGCCGAGGCGGGTGGATCATGAGGTCAGGAGATCGAGACCATCCTGGCTAACAAGGTGAAACCCCGTCTCTACTAAAAATACAAAAAATTAGCCGGGCGCGGTGGCGGGCGCCTGTAGTCCCAGCTACTCGGGAGGCTGAGGCAGGAGAATGGCGTGAACCCGGGAAGCGGAGCTTGCAGTGAGCCGAGATTGCGCCACTGCAGTCCGCAGTCCGGCCTGGGCGACAGAGCGAGACTCCGTCTCAAAAAAAAAAAAAAAAAAAAAAAAAAAAAAAAAAAAAAAGATGTAGGTTAAAGCAATTATTGTTGTAATTCTCAGAAACATTAATAATGCTAACATACATCCTGATTCCATATTACAGAATCCTCCTCTAAGAAAGAACTCATAAGGTAGAAAGAATGTTAAGAGTCATTTTCTAAATTTACTACTTTAGGAAGCCCCTTCCTTTCTTTCCTAAATACCTATTAATGCTTTGCTTATTAGTCTCTAATCCCACGGGTTCTGAAACTCTATTAATAATAAGGAACATTACAGATACATGAGAAATAATGGAATTTTTAGGCCTGACAACCAGGAATTCTGACTTAGTAAGTCTACTTTAAAACCAGGAATCTGCATTTTGTAAACTACCACCTGAGGTGATTCTAATCTAAGTGGTCTAAAGGCCACTTTTTGAGAAGCACAGCATTCAGAAATTCACTCTTCTCCAACTGCCGATATAAGCAGCTTACAGTAAAATTATGCTATATTTTGCCAACTTGAAAATTAGAAGCTGCATTATCTTTGATTGACATTAAAATGTATGGCAAGAACCTACTCACACAAGGAAACATAGCTAATGTCAATTCGAGCTTAATGGCCAAACATTTTGAAACACACGGTATATAATAAGTAAATAATGCTTATAGAATGATGGCAATACCATTAGATCCTGGCAAACTTCAGTGACCCACTACAGAGTCCAGCTTTGGTGCCTAACCAGGTGTACACAGCATAATTCTCAGGGCAGGGAACGCATGTGGAGATAAGTTTTGTTTGAAGCATACTGTACACATCATGAGAAATGGCTATTTTAAAAGGCTAAAACTTATACATTTCTTATTACCGAATGGCAGATCTTTATATATTCAAAATCTCTTTCCTCATTATAAGTCACTTAACTTCAAAAACCTACTATAAGCATAACCTTTTAAATTCTGTATAATTACTTCAACCTCAAACTTTTTTCTCTTTTATTTGAGACGAGGTCTTACTATGTCACCCAGGTTAGAATGCAGTGGTGCTATCATGGCTCTCTGCAAACTCAAACTTCCAGATTCAAATGATCTTCCAACCTCAGCCTCCCAAGCAGCTAAGACTAATGTGCCACCACACCCAGCTAATTTTTAAATTTTTTGTAGAGAGAGGATCTCATTATTTTGTCCAGGCTGATGTCCAAGTCTTGGGTTCAATTGATCCTCCTGCCTCAGCCCCACAAAGGGCTGGGATTAGAGGCATGAGCCACCATGCCCAGCCTTAACCTCAACATTTTAAAGAATGAACTGTATTAGTCCATTCTCACACTACTAATAAAGACACCCCCAAGGCTGAGTAATTTATAAAGAAAAAGAGGTTTAATGGACTCACAGTTCCATATGGCTGGGGAGGCCTCACAGAAAGCAAAAGAGGAGCAAAGGCTGGGGAGGCCTCATGGCAGAAAGCACAGGAGGAGCAAAGGCATGTCTTCCATGGCAGCAGGCAAGAGAGAGTGTGCAGGGGAATTGCCCTTTATATAACCATCAGATCTCATGAGACTTATTTACTATTACAAGAACAGCATGGAAAAACTTCCCCCACGATTCATTTACCTCCCACTGGGTCCCTCCCATAACACCTGAGAATTATGGGAGCTACAATTCAAGATAAGATTTGGATGGGGACACAGATTGCCCCCACATCTCAAAACCAATCATGCCTTCCCAACAGTCCCCTGAAGTCTTAACTCATTTCAGCATTAACTCAAAAGTCCACAGCCTAAAGTCTCATCTGAGACAAGGCTAGTCCCTTCTGCCTATGAGCCTGTAAAATCAAATGTAGTTAGTTACTTCTTAGATACAATGGGGGTATAGTTATTGGGTAAATACACCTGTTCCAAATGGGAGAAATTGGCCAAAATGAAGGATCTACAGGCCCTGTGCATTGTCACAATCTGGCAGGACAGCCAAATCTTAAAGCTCTGAAATGATCTCCTTTGACTCTATGTCTCACATTCAGGTCGCACTGATGCAAGAGGTGGGCTCCCACATCCAGGTCACACTGATGCAAGAAGTGGGCTTCCATGGCCTTAGGCAGCTGCACCCAGATGGATATGTAGGGTACAGCCCCCCTCCCAGCTGCATTCATAGCAGGCGTGAGTGTCTGCAGCTATTCCAGGTGCAGGCTTCAAGCTGTCAGTGGATCTACCATTCTCAGGTCTGAAGGACAGTGGCTCTCTTCTCACAGCTCCACTAGGCAGTGCCTCAGTCGGGACTCTCTGTGGGGGTTATGACCCCAATTATCCTTCCACATTGCCCTAGCAGAAGTTCTCCATGAGGGCCCTGCCCCTGCAGCAAACTTCTGCTTTGACATCCAGGCATTTCCATACATCCTCTGAAATCTAGGCAGAGGTTCCAGAATCTCAATTCTTGAGTTTTTGTACCCACAAGCTCAACACTGCATGTAAGCCACTAAGGCTTGGGACTTGCACCCTCTGAAGCAGCATCCTGAGCTGTAAGTTGGCCCCTTTTAGCCACAGCTGGAGCTGAAGCAGCTGGGTGCAAGGCAACATGTCCAGAGGCTGCACACAGAAGAAGTCCCTGGACCTGGCTCAGGAAACCCTATTTCCCTTCTAGGACAATGGGCCTGTAATGAGAGGGGTTGCCCTGAAGGTCTCTGACATGCCCTGGAGACATTTTCCTCATTGTCTTGGTGATTAACATTTGGCTCCTAATTACTTATGCACATTTTTGCAGTCCACTTGAAGTTCTCCCCAGAAAATGGGGTTTTTTTTTTATACTTTAAGTTTTAGGGTACATGTGCACAACATGCAGGTTAGTTACATATGTATACATGTGCCATGTTGGTGTGCTGCACCCATTAACTCGTCATTTAACATTAGGTATATCTCCTAATGCTATCCCTCCCCACTTCCCCTACCCCACAACAGTTCCCGGTGTGGATGTTCCCCTTCCTGTGTCCAAGTGTTCTCATTGCTCAATTCCCACATATGAGTGAGAACATGCGGTGTTTGGTTTTTTGTCATTGCAATAGTTTGCTGAGAATGATGGTTTCCAGCTTCATCCATGTCCCTACAAAGGACATGAACTCATCATTTTTTATGGCTGCATAGTATTCTATGGTGTATATGTGCCACATTTTCTTAATCCAGTCTATCATTGTTGGACATTTGGCTTGGTTCCAAGTCTTTGCTATCGTGAATAGTGCCGCAATAAACATACGTGTGCATGTGTCTTTATAGCAGCATGATTTATAATCCTTTGGGTATATACCCAGTAATGGGATGGCGGGCTCAAATGGTATTTCCAGTTCTAGATCCCTGAGGAATCGCCACACTGACTTCCACAACGGTTGAATTCGTTTACAGTCCCACCAACAGTGTAAAAGTGTTCCTATTTCTCCACATCCTCTCTAGCACCTGTTGTTTCCTGACTTTTTAATGATCGCCATTCTAACTGGTGTGAGATGGTATCTCATTGTGGTTTTGATTTGCATTTCTCTGATGGCCAGTGATGATGAGCATTTTTTCATGTGTCTTCTTGCTGCATAAATATCTTCTTTTGAGAAGTGTCTGTTCATATCCTTCACCCACTTTTTGATGGGGTTGTTTGTTTTTTTCTTGTAAATTTGTTTGAGTTCATTGTAGATTCTGGATATTAGCCCTTTGTCAGGTGAGTAGATTGCAGAAATTTTCTTCCATTCTGTGGGTTGCCTGTTCACTCTGATGGTAGTTTCTTTTGCTGTGCAGAAGCTCTTTAGTTTAATTAGATCCCATTTGTCAATTTTGGCTTTTGTTGCCATTGCTTTTCGTGTTTTAGACATGAAGCCCTTGCCCATGCCTATGTCCAGAATGGTACTGCCTAGGTTTTCTTCTAGGGTTTTTATGGTTTTAGGTCTAACATTTAAGTCCTTAATCCATCTTGAATTAATTTTTGTATAAGGTGTAGGGAAGGGATCCAGTTTCAGCTTTCTACATATGGCTAGCCAGTTTTCCTAGCACCATTTATTAAATAAGGAATCGTTTCCCCAGAAAATGGGGTTTTCTTTTCTACTACATCAGTAGGCTGCAAATTTCCCCTACTTTTATGCTCTGCTTTCTCTTTACTGTTTTACCACTCAGAAATTTCTTCTGCCATATACTCTAAATTATCTCTCTGAAGTTCAGTTGTTCCAAAGATCTCTATGGCAGTGGCAAAATACCACCAATCTCTTTGCATGGCAAGGATGACCTTTACTCCACTTCCCAACAAGTTTCTCATCTCCCTCTGAGACCACCTGAGGCTGAACTTTGTTGTCCATATCACTATCAGCATTTTGATCAAAGCCATTCAAGAAGTCTCTAGGGAGTGCCAAAGTTTCCCACATCTTCCTGCTTTCTGAGCCCTCCAAGTCTGTAGGCAAGTCTAAATTTTCCCACATTTTCCTGTCTTCTTCTGATACCTCCAAACTGTCCCTATCTTTCTGCCTGTTACCCAGTTTCAGAGTCGCCTCCACATTTTTGGGTAACTTTACAGCAGTGTCTCATTAGTGTATTAGTCTGTCTCATGCTGCTAATAAAGACATACCTGAGATGAGTAATTTATAAAGAAAAAGAGGGTTAATGGACTCACAATTCCACATGGCTGGGGAGGCCTCACTATCATGGAGGAAGGTGAAGGAGGAGCAAAGGCACATCTTACATGGTGGCAGGCAAGAGAGCGTGTGCAGGGGAACTGCCTTTATAAAGCCATCAGATCTCATGAGACTTATTCACTATTATGGGAACAGCATGGGAAAAACACACCCCCATGATTCAATTACCTCCCACCAAGTCCTTCCCATGACATACGGGGATTGTGGGAGCTAGAATTCAAGATGAGATTTGGGTGGGGACATAGCCAACCATATCATGAACATATTATAATTTGTGTGTGAATTAATTTCTCCTACTGCCTCTCATTTTCTTAATGAGCAAACATTCATTATCCAAGTCATTTAGGCACCTGAATTTTATAATCTTAATGCTTGCTTTTACTCCATCTGTCCAGATCATTCACCAAGTTCACTTGAAAGTTATCTTCTCTTTCAGAACCATTTCTTTGTAAAAAATTCCATTGTCATCCATTAGTTCAGGTACTTACCAGCTCTTGCTTGCAATGCCTCTTAAGTACTAAGCTAGTCTTCAGACTTCTCCCCAAACCCAAGTGCTGGGTCTTAGAATCAGAATATTCAAGGCTAGTCTTTGCCAGATGTGTGACCATGAAAAAATATTCTGTCTCTCTAGATCTCAGTTTCCTAATACTGCTGTGTAACACATTACTGTAAGTTTAATGGCTTAAAACAACACATATTTATTATCTCAGGGTTTCTGTGAGTGAGGAATCAAGGTATGGCTAAGCCTTGTCCTCTGCTCAGTGTCACTTGGCTAAATAAAGATGTTAGCTGGGGCTATAGTTTCAATCTGAGTTAGGGTCCTCTTCAAGCTCTCTGATTGTTAGTAAATTAATTTCCTTGAGACTATATGTCTGATGTCCCCATGTTCTCACTAGCTATCACCTGGGACTGCTTTCAGCTCCTAGAGGTCACCCACAGTTCTTTGCCACATGGCACCCGTAAACAATTCACAGCATAGCTATTTGTTTTCTTCTAGGCCAGGAAAATAATGTCTCTCTGACTCTACCCCTTCTTAAAGACCTCGTCTCATTGTATGAGGCCCATCCTTGATAATCACCCTTTGATGAACTCAAAAGGGGCCCACAGTGATAACTGCAAAACCCATTTTGTAATATAAAGTATCATATTCGAGGCAATCATATCACATCATATTCACAATTATCTCCTACATGCTAGGGGAAGGGTTTATACAAGGGTGTGGATAATTAAGGATTATCATAGAATGCTGCCTAATGCATTAATGTAAAAGCTAGTTAGGTAGAAAAGATCTCATGGTTTTGTAATAGCAAATCCTCAAACTGCACAGAACTAAACTTATACATGGAATGACAACTTTAATGTAAATGTAAGCTCTTAGGGAGCTGACAGACTTAGGAAGGCAATGCACATCTTTTCTCACACTAAGTAGCAGATATTCACTTTCTTGCTATGCAGAAGATTAAAGGCTGCAGTGAAACTACCTGTGGTTTTGGATGCAGCTCTGCCCAGAGGCACCAAAGGGATTTCTGAGTAAAACTCTCATAAAGGGGATAAAAAACAGAGTTGGATGAAATTATGATTGTTTCATTTTACTTTTGAAAGCTTATTAAAAAAAAGTCTCACTATTGCCTATAGAATAAATTTCAAACCCTTAATCTGGAATAAAAGCTCTTTCATGACATAACTGAACCCTGCCTCTCTGTTTACTTCTCATGCCTATACCACACATAAAGTTTCATAGTTATTTCAATCACATGCTGTTACTCTGCATAGATATATGAAATTCATTTCTTCAAAGTGTCCTACCACCTACTTTTGTCCCAAACACATATGATGAATTCTACTCCTTTGTGAAAGAAAATAGGAATCTCAGGATCCCAAAATCACTGCGCCAAAGGGAAAGTTAAGCTTGGGATCTCAGTAATGAAAAAAAGAAAAAAAAAAGTCTTTCTTTTTTTTCATGAACTGATAGCTACAATTTCACAAACCTATGTCACAGCCTTATAATAATAGAAGGCCATGTATCTCCCCAAATGGTCTCTCTCCAAAATTACTGACAAGGAAATTCCTTCTGGGTCCGATAATCTATCAGAATACATGCCTTCCCTATAAACTAGCCCTAAAACATAGTTCTGTAAAATCTAACCATGACAATGCAAATTACCAGCTTTTCTTCACAGGTATGAGACAAAGAAAGACTAGAAATAATCCCTCTGCCTATCTGAGACCAGTGCATAATTGACTCCTTCCTCCACTTCATCTGTTCACACGGTTATCTTATGTAAAATGTAGATTGACTGAGTGAGAGACAAGTGCATAATTTACCTTTCCCCTACTCTCTCTTTCTCATGTAAAATACAGATGAACTGAGAGCTAATCAAACTCTCACAAGAATGTAACCACTTGTCTCATTGTCTACCCTTCCCCTAAACCCCTTTTTTTCCTTCTTACTCCCCTCCTGCTTGCTCTTTCCCCTTTCAATATTGAAGTCCTCCAAACCCTTTTTGGAAAAGGCACAGACCACAGATGCTTCTGTGATTTGTGTTATTTTCTTGGGCACGTCCTCAATCTTGGCAAAATAAACCTCTAGATCGACTGAGACTTGCTTCTGTCACTGTTTGGTTTATACATTGTTTAAGACACATTTACTCAATAAACAGATCTTTACTGAGTGCCTGCTTCCATCAATGAACTGTTGAGCCTTAACCTCTCCCACAAAGTAGGGCTGATATCTGCTACTTCTGCACAAAACTGTAGCCAGTTCATATACCTGTGCCTGTTATGTCTTATGTTTTTATGTCTCTTTCTCAACTGTGAAAGCTTGGGTGGAATATTTTTGTTTTATTTGTTTATATTTCTAGGACTAATTCAGGAATTGGTACAACTCATCATGATTTCCTGAAAATACAAATTACAATGATAATGATAATAATATCTAAAATGTATTCAGTGATTCCTTGTACTCTGAAAACACTTCATACATATCATTTTATACAGAATTCTTGCAAAAGCACTTTGAGGCAACCATTATTGTCCTTATTTAGCAAAGGAGAAAAAGAAAGCTCAGAGACAGAGGCAGGACTTCTGTATAGTTTACTGATACTCTTCATTTTATATTTTTCATACCAAAGTGATCCTGAAACAGGAGCGTCAACATCATTCACACATTTAACACAATGGCAAACACGCACATTTTCAGGCTCCCCCGTGGGCCTGCTCCACCAGAAAATCTTGGATCAAGGCCTGATAATCTGAGATTCAGCAAGCCCTGTACTTGAGGATGCCCTGTGCTTAATGGCTACAGCTTCAGAACCACTGTTCTATAACCAAGTATGGACATATTCTGGACAAGAAAATGTGATAAACTAGCACTTTCAAGTGACTTTTACCCAGAAACATGGATATAAAATTAATATGTTAGGTAGTGATAGAGAAAAGATAAAGATTTGTATAAACGTTTCTATTTTTAGGAAAATATTCTCCATAACATGTTTGATAACCCCAAAGACATCTTCAACAGCTGCAGGTCAAGTTTCTTGGTTTCTCATTTGCATCTTCACTAATGCACCATAGAATACTGTGAAATCGAGAGGCATTTTAACAATTTCTTATTGAATTGAATTTAATTGAATTTGATTAGCCTGTCTTTTCTGTTTGCCTTATTTTATGCTAGGGAGTGTCTTTTTAAAACGTGTCAAGTGATATTATACTAAAAACAGTTAGATAGTAATAGGAAGTCAAACTTTTATCCCTAAAAAGACAAAATAGTGCCAGATAAGGTGGATTACCCCTTTAAATGAGGAGGGTTTGCTAAAAGATGGAAGAGTGAAATTTTGCTTAGCATATCCAGAAACAGCAACTACAGTGAATATTTACTTTGTGCCGTAGTCTTTACCTAACTGTATTTACATATACACTTACAAAAATAAAATATATGCCACTCAGAAAGTTCACCATCTGGTTAGGGAGACAAACGATGTAAACATGCTAAAGAATTGTAAGATTAGATAGATAGATACATAGATACATAGATAGACAGATAGATAGATGCAAGTGTAGAGATAAATGCTCTGTAAATGGCAGTGCATTGAAGAGCATAGAAAAAATGGGATCTTCACAAGTTTTCAGTACTGCATAGAACCATATTCTGATTCTGTACCTGTTTCTGTCTTCATTGTTGTTCTGATCTTGATTCAGATGATTTTAAACTATGTTGTTTATAAGATTAAACTTTTCATATTTCTTCATATGAGCAAAAATCTTTCCCCTCCTGCCCAATGTATGATTAAATCTGTTTGGCATTTAAAACAGAGGCCAATTTTGTCAAAAATTCACTTCCTTTATAAATGTCTGAGTATATCATGGGTTTGTCATGCAGCTACAATGTGAAAAACAATCAATCAATATTAATGAGGTACTTAATATGTGAAAGTGTATGACCTCCTTGAGGATACAAAAGAGGCAAATCCTTGGAACATAAATAAAATACTAAGAAAGTGAGAACTGAGTAAACAACTAATTAATTAACTAATTGTGTCAGAATTTAGGAAGAAAAAACATGTAGGTAATAAAGTAATTCATTGAAGGATTGTATCTAAGAAGTGCATTTTAGTGTAAGCCAAGACCTTCACACAAAAGGAAATATGTGACGTGTAAGAGTTCACTGCCTGGAGAATTCTTACAGGCTACAGAAAGCAGATTTTAAACTTATTCTAAAGTTTAGGGCTTTCCATTAGAAATGCTTAAGCCAGAAAAGTGCCTGGATCAGATTCTTGTTGTAGTAAGATAACTCTGGAAGCACTATGGAACATCCATTAAAGAGAGATCTAACCAAGTCCAGAAATGCCTAGACTAACATATCCTAGAGGCAGAATTAGAATGGATGTTACTGAGCCTTGACAGAATTCAAGAATCAGGTTACACAGTAACCTGAAATTTAATTTAGCATAATAAGATGTCTAACTTGTGTCTTGGGACTTGTATTTCTCAAAATGTAATCCAATAATGTATATTTATTAGAAATACTAAGGCAAGCGTAGTGATCAGGGTAAAATTATGGATAAGGACCTTTTTTGGGAAAAATATGCAGAGAAAGAGTAATTAAAACAGGAAACTGATAAAAATAATTGCATGGATTATAATCATAATTTTTCAGTAATATAGGCAATCTTATCTGCTAAGCCTGCATGCCCATTACAAAGAATTAATTAGTGTGATATAAGGTATCACAATTATAGGTTAAAATAATCAGAATGTCTGAGCATGGTGGCTCACACCTGCAATCCTAGCACTTTAGGAGGCTGAGGCAGGAGGGTCACTTTAGCCCAGAAGTTCGAGACCAGCCTAGGCAACACAGCACGATCTCTACAAAAAATAAAACAAGTTAGCCAAGCATGGTCGTGCATGCCTGTATTCCCAACTACTCAGGAGGCTGAGGCGGGAAAATCACTGGAGCCTAGGAGTGCGAGGTACAGTGAGCTATGATCGTATCACTGCATTCCAGCCTGCGTGACAGAGCAAGACCCTATCTCTTAAAAACTCTTAAAAATAAATAGATAAATAACATTTTAAAATAAGCAGAATGGTTTGCATAAACCTGTTTCATAGAAGATAATGTTGAAAATAATACATATTACAGTGGCATAAGAAATATGTTTTAATAATCATCATAAACAATTCTTATACTTAAATACCAAGCCATCTCCCTTATAAACTTATTCCCCTCCTAAAGAATGTATGTTTGAGTGTGTGTGTGTGACAGAGAGAGAGGGAGTTTAAATTTAGATGTATAAAGAATTTAAAGTATGCACTTTTACTTAGACAAGTACACATTTTTGCCTTTTGTGAGAATTAACAGGAATCAAATTTATTGATGTTTAACCAGTTTTATTCTCAGAACTCTATAATTCCCGAAACTAAGTTGAAGAAATAATTTATACAGTTTCTCTGTCTTTAACCAAAATATTATATATGAGGTCTGAAATAATAGTATCTAATATGTACTATTGTGAAGTATGAATCTATATGTTTCTTCATATATTAACTTAATTATTCCCTCAACTTTTCTATAAGGCATATATTATTTTAAACCTATTTTACGGAAGAAGAAAATGAGGCCCACAGGGATCATACTTATATATTAATATATCTTGTAAAATTACCTTACTTAAGAATGGGTAAATCTGGTTCAAATGATGCATAATCTGTAAGAGACACTATGTTTTGAAAAATAATGTAAAATGCCTTTTTCTTAACATGTCATACTGGTTTCAGCACATTAATTTTGATTTTCATTTTTCTATTCTTTACCTTTAATCTCTTTGTCATTTTTGAACCATCTTATATCAGCTGCAGGTTTACTACCAGATGTTTTGCAAGTCAGCTGCATCAAGTCACCCTCCATAACTGGTGATGAGAATCCACTAATCTGAGGCTTTTCAGGAACACCTGAAATTTAAGCGAATGATGAAGTGAGCATCAATCTTCAGGGTTGATTTGTTATTATGTCTATTACTTTCACACATGAAACTGAACTGGATGGTTAATTGACAAGAAGTTCGATCAAGATGAACAAACTACTATGTAATAAACTGCTTCATATGTGTGTGTTATACATACTTAGGTGTATATGTCTATATGCATACACATAAACATATACACACATCCATACACATATATATGTGTACAGATATATAAATATATATAGTATCAAAAAAGTATGTAAGATGCATATAGCTCAAAGTAGTTTTTTAAATTAAATTGTAATTTTTTTTTTTTTTTTTTTTGAGACAGGATCTTGCTCTGTCGCCCAGGATGGAGTGGACTGGCTCGATCTCGGCTCACTGCAACCTTTGCCTCCCAAGTTCAAGTGATTCTCCTGCTTCAGACTCCCAAGTAGCTGGGATTACAGGTGTGCACCACCATGCCCGACTAATTTTTTTTTTTTTTTTTTTTTTGAGATAGAGTCTTGCTCTGACCCCAGGCTGGAGTGCAGTGGTGCAATCTCTGTTCACTGCAACCTCCACCTCCCAGGTTCAAGCAATTCTCCTGCCTCAGCCTCCTGAGTAGCTGGGATTACAGGTGGGTGCCACCAAGCCCGGCTAATTTTTGTACGTTTAGTAGATACGGGGAGGTGGGGGTGGTTCTCCATGTTGGCCAGGCTGGTCTCGAACTCCTGACCTCGTGATCTGCCCACTTCAGCCTCCCAAAGTGCTGGGATTACAGGCATGAGCCACCGTGCCTGGCCTAATTTTGTATTTTTTAGTAGAGATGGGGTTTCCTCATGTTGGCCGGGCTGGTCTCAAACTCCTGACCTCAAGTGATCCACCTACCTCGGCCTCCCAAAGTGCTGGGATTACAGGCAAGAGCCACCGTGCCTGGCCTCATTTGTAAAATTTTACCTGTGAAAATACTCTTGTAAATCTTAAAAACAATCATTTAATATAATTTACAATTTACTAGTGTAGAAATTTTAAAAGGTAGATTGCATTAAAGAAAAAAAACTCACAAAACATATTTCTTTATCCATTAACAAATTATAATTTAACTTTAGCTTCTTTCTTTCCTGATTTCATAGTTCTTAAAGCTTAAAAAGAATATTATCATCTCTGTATTTTATGGCCAGGTACGGTGGCTCATCCCTTGTAATCCCAACACTTTGGGAGGCCGAGGTCAAGTGATCGAGACCATCTTGGCCAACATGGTGAAACCCCGTCTCTACTAAAAATACAAAAAAAAAAAAAAAATTAGCCAGGCGTGGTGGCAGGTGCCTGTAATCCCAGCTACTCAGAAGGCTGAGGCAGGAGAATCGCTTGAACTTGGGAGACAGAGGTTGCAGTGAGCTGAGATGGCGCCACTGCACTCCAGCCAGGCTACAGAGTGAGACTCCGTTTTAAAAAAAAAAAAAAAAAGAAGAAGAATATTGGAAGGCACCAATATGAGAAGTACAAATTAAACAACAGGAACAACAAAGATACATGAAAAATTAACATAACTCCTCTTAACATTTTTTGTCTTCACCTACATACTACCTGCTTTCTTTTTAAAAAATCTATGCCTCATCACCATTTAATAAAGTGAATTCATCAGTCATCTATTCTTTGGATTTCAAATTGGCTCTCTACAGAACAATACATTAACCTTATGCAGTTGTTATCCTGAAATACTCCATTTTAGAGGGCATATTTTGTCTTTAATGGCAAACTTGTGAAGATTTTT
The DNA here is from genome assembly GCF_000001405.40 of Homo sapiens. NCBI lineage: Eukaryota > Metazoa > Chordata > Mammalia > Primates > Hominidae > Homo > Homo sapiens. The sequence continues at coordinate 85,884,419 of NC_000003.12, read as the reverse complement.
ATAAAATAGTCCCAGTGTCACTTGCAGAGAAATGTTTTATATCCTATGCACAAAACCAATTCACTAGCTGGATTAACTTTAATATTCCCACCAAAAAGAACAGCATGTGTTAGTCCTTTTAAATGCAGCATTGTGCCTTTTTCTATCTAAAGAGGGCAGCAAGCTTGGGGGAAAAAAATCAATCTTTAAATTCTTCTAACTTGTTCAGCACGCAGGTGTGTTTCAATGAAATGCAGCAATTTCAGCTGATTGGGGCACTGACGTCTGTGGAATCACAGAGAGCTCAGAGCTGCAACTTTATTTCCTCGGAATCTCTATGAATGTATTGCTTTTTTTGTGTCACTTTCACCTTTGGGAAAATGGCCCAATATTTAGAGAACAAAAGCACAAAGAAACTACAAGCTGCAAGCTGAAGCGACATTAGGTACTTCATTTAGGAATCTAGAAAATATAATTTCAAAAGGAGAGAAGACACATGGAAATATCAGGGTCATTTAAATGCACTAAATACACAAGCAGGTCATATTTGAGAGCCACAAGTTAGCAAGAAAGGCCCTTATCAGGTGACTTACATGATCAAATAAAGGAGCATAGTATAGAACACAAGTTGAACTCATTATGCTCATTATTGTGTCATGTCGTAAAAGGATCAGAATATATACAACATATAGATTATTTGATAAAAAAGAAATTAGCTGAAATCAAGAGAACCGGTGTCTATTGCTGGCTAAGAAACAAAATAGCTATGTGCCTTCTAGAAGTCATATACATCTTTGAATCTATCTTTGTCCCTTTATAAAATGCTGAAAGTGACTAAATGATTTTAAAACGCCTGTGTTAAAATGTAGCAGAGAAAGGATTAAACCATATCTATTCATATAATCTTCAAAATATATTTTTGTATTGAATTATGTTGCTGTAGCAATATATATCATTCTGGTTTTGTGATTACATGGTGTTAGTCCCTTGCACTTACCCAGAACGGTGAGATATGCCTTGGAAGTTTTGACAGGCATTGTAAATAAAGAACAGGTGTACTGTCCTTCATCAGAGAGAGACACATCACTGACACTAATACTCAATTCATGCCAGGAAGCGCGAACCAGCTCGATCCTATTGTCCCTTAAAGCTGGAAAGAGAAAATATTGAAAATGTAAATAAGGACATCAGAAACAGTCAGTATTTTTAGACTATATATTTTCAACACAATACAATAAATGTTTTCTTTGGCCATACATTCAAATCTTATTTCTTGGAACAGTTTAAAAGAAAGTTTAAATATATTGAAATATTTTATCAGATTTTTAAAAATCAAAGTAGAATTAGGTGCTCCTTAATGTTTTCAGAAATAACTTTTTTATTAAATGATTACATCTAATGCAATACTTCAGATGAGGTAGATACTGATGTTGATAAACATAGCTTTCCTCTGCAAATGTTTCATAGAATACCAGTGCCAAGAAAAGCTATAAACAAAATGGGTTCACTTCTATGGACAGATAAATTTGGTAAACTGTGACTGCTGCAGGACTTCCAAGGCAACAACAAAAATATTGGCCTATTACAAGCTCTCTGCAGTAGAGGCACTTGAACTATTTCAACTTGAGCTGATATTGAGCAGAAAGGCACCTGTAAACTATCTGGCTTTTAAATTTGCTCTGATTGGTTGGTGCCACTGCTGTATTGTATGTTAATACAGTCTTTGGTTTGAATCACCTTTTCTATCACAAGACACTCAGTTTCACAGAAGATACTTTAGCATCTTGCTGAATTATGCTTCACTTGACTCATTTTGGGAGAAAAACAAAAGCATTAAAAAGTTTATCATTGTGTGCTCTACTAAGTAGAGCTGTAGAATCGGGAATTAAGCAAGCAGCAACTAAAAGAGTACTCTAAAAGGTAGAAAGAGTGAGGAGGACTGGTTAAAGACACCAGCACCCGAGGAAAATCCCAGTAGCTTCCCAAACAGTAAAAGACGATCCAGACCCAGCTTCTCCCAACCACAAACTAGAAACAGAAGGTAGTCTAGGTAGACTCATTTTTATTGCTGATCAAATGAGAATCCATCCAACAATATCAGGAGAGACTGGGTTACCTGCAAGGAGAATGAAGTAGGAGCCTTACTAACAGCAAACAGCCAGAGAAAGTGACCTCTTTTTCTAGGATGCCTAAGACTTCCCCTCTCCATCTAGAGGTTCTGAGCAGATAAGCAGCTCTAGCAGTGTGTGTGGAGGGTGAGGCGGGAGGGTATATGCGGGGTGGGGGCGGGGGGATGTCTCTACCAAAAGTACAGAGCCCTGGAAGTAATCCTCTTTTCGTCAGCTAGAGCAGGGGTCCCCAATCCCTAGGCCATGGGCCAGTACCAGTTTGCAGTCTGTTAGGAACTGGGTCACACAGCAGGAGGTGAGCCATGAGCCAGCCAACATTACTGCCTGAGCTCTGCCTCCTGTCAGATCAGCAGGGGCACTTCTTATAGGAGAGTGAACCCTATTGTGAACTCTGGATATGAGGCATCTAGGTTGCGTGCCCCTTATGAGAATCTAACTAATGCCGGATGATTTGAGATCAAACAATTTCATCCCAAAACCATCCCCCACACATACCGCCCACCATCCATGGAAAAATTGTCTTCCACAAAACTGGTTCCTGGTGCCAAAAAGGTTGGGGACCGCTGAGCTAGAGCATTTTTTAGCTCACCTAGACCACTACAGCTTAGCCTGAGGAATCTCCTCTTCTCCCTTCGGTGGACCAGAAGAGATCAGTGTGGCCCCCAGTAGAATTAGACAAATCAACCTGTCCAAATAGCAGCACAAAGTCCCTAAAAATTAAATTCTCATTAGAACCACAGCCCATAATTGAAAGCTAGGACTAGCATGTTATACCTTAACAGGGCAACTGCTTCTTAGAATAAATCTAATTAGCATCCAGAGTCTCTTAACATAATCAAAATGTTCAGCGTATAATAAAAAAAACTTACTAGTCATACTAAACACCAGGAAAATCATAACCGAATGAGAAAAAATAAAAGATGCCTATACTGAGATGAATCAAATATTGAAATTTTTGACAAAAATTTTTAAGCAACCATTATAAAAATACTTTAATAAGCAATTACTAATGATCTTGACACAAATAAAAAAAACAGAAAACCTTAGCATGAAAAATGTTATTAAAAATGGACGTTACAGAAATAAAAATACAAAAGCCAATATAAAAACTAATTGGATTTTCTCTATAGTACAATGAAAATGACAGAGGATAGAATCAGTTAATTTAAAGACAGAGAAATAGAATTCACCCAATCTGAATAGCTGAGAGAAAACAGAAGGATAAAAAGAAAAGATAGCAAAGAACAGAGGCCCAGGGACCTGTGAGACAATAACAAAATATCCATCAGTGATATCATTAGAGTCCCAGAAGGAAAGAAGAAAGAGAGTGGGACTAAAAGGGTATTCAAAGAAATAATGGTTGAAAACATTCCAAATTTGGCAAAAGTCAGGAAGATAGAGAATCAATCAAGAAGCTGAGTGAAACCCCCAAACTAGGAAAACCCCAAAGAACTCTATATCGAGATACATCAAGAGGAAACTTCGAAAAGCTAGCATCACTGCCTGAGCTCCACCTCCTGTCAGATGAGTGGGGGCATTTCTCATAGGAGAGTGAACTCTACTGTGAAAACTAGATGAAAACTATATAAACAAACTTCTTGAAAGGATCCCAAGAGAATAGCTTATTACCTGTAAGAGAATACAAATTCAAATGACAATGCATTTCCCATTTCAAGTCATGGAGGCCAGAGGAAGTGGTGCATTTTTCAACTTCTGAAAAAGAACTATCAACTATGATTTCTTAACCAGTAAAACTATCCTTTAGGAATCAAGAGGAAATAAATATGTTCTTAGAAGAAAGAGAAACAGATAATTTGCCTCTAGCAGGACTGTCTTAAAGAAAAAATATTTTTCAAACATAAAAGAATTAGTAATAAGAGGAAATCTTGACGCATCAAGAAGAAAGAATGAAAAAATAACAAAATAAGAGAAAATACAATGGACTACCCTTCTCCTGAGTTTTTTCAAATATAAGATTATTAAAACAAAAAGTATAACTTTGATAATGTCCACCATATATAGAAGGAATACTTAAGACAAGAAAAAAAGTGGATAGGGCAAAGATACCTAGTGGAAGTAAGGTTTCCATACTTGAAATAGTAAAATGTTGCTACTAGTAGACTGTGTCAATTATATCTGTTAATTGCGATACCCAGAGCAACCACTAAGAAACGCACACAAAGAATACACTCAAAAACTCTATAAATAAAGACGGAATCCATTTATATGATGTTTTGAGATAACAAAATTATAGAGGTAGAGAACAGCGTTTGGTTGCCAAGGACTAGGGATGGCAGGGGCGATGGAGAGTAGAGGGACATGGGTGTGGCTCTAAGAGGAAGAAGGAATCCCTGTGGTTCTGGAACTGTTTTGTCTCTTGATTGTAGTGATGGATACATGAACCCACACATGTAACAACATTGTCTAGAACTAAACATATAAACACACACACACTTACACATATGCACACAAAAATAAATACATGTAAAACTGATGAAAGCCAAGTAAGACTATTAAACTGTATCGGTGTCAATTTCCTCGTTGTGATGTTGTTTCATAGCTTTACAGCTGTTCCTTGGGTGAAAGGTACACAAGAGCTCTCTATTATTTCTTACAACTGCATATAAATCTACAAAAAAATTGATTAAAAAATTTTAATGCACATTTGATGGAGTAGGGAGAACAGTTAGGATATCAAAGCTTAAAATTCAGTGTACACATTTACTACACAAGAGGGTGATCCCAAATGTCATATATTTGAAAATTACCTGCACCTTCCCTATGTGCTTTGTGAGAGGAGCAGATAATTATAAAATATATAGCCTTTGGGAAAATTCTAAATCATTGTGATTCTAAGTATCTTTAAAAAATCACCCTCCCATACACTCAAATAATAAAAACCTAAATGATTGTATCCCCTTTGCTGTCATTCTTTGTGAACTCTAATTGCTTAGGAAGATATACACTTGCAAATATTTTTAGAATTGATTTATATTGAATGTGAAAAATAAAGCAGGTCTGTGCTTGTGACTGAATTTGGATACAGCACACTTTAAAAAAAATGTCTATTTCATACTCTATCTCCTACATGCCATGATATAGATGCCTTGTTTAGCTGCCAGAGGAAAGTAGTAGGGCACAAATTTGTTATTCTCACAATAGGAACTCATGCTATATCAACCCCTTTTCAAAACAATGATTTATTCACATAAATATTTATCTTATATAAATATATGTATTTATATATAATTTTAAAATTTTGTTACTATGTGTACATATATACTAAATATATATGTATATTATACATACTCATGTAGTTTGTTCACACATTTTTTAAGAGGTCACCAAAAGGAAAAATCTCAAATTCCTGCTGTGATACTGTATGGATAGAATACGTTACCCACCTCCTGTGCTCAATTTCATTTCCCCTAACACAGGTTCCACTGACACAGACAGAGCTTACAATTCTCAGTGAATCCAGACAAAAGGAATTTAACTCTATTTTAGCCAGACTGTATTTTGGAACCTATATAACATCACCAAAGTTAAACTGAATTGCTCACTACATACGAATATAAGACTTTCATATTTAAACCATTTTCATGGAACAAGGCTAAAGGTACTGATTTGAAATCAAAAGACTTGGCTCCAGACACTTGTATGAAGTCAGTTTCTGGTGATAATAATTTCTGATTCCTTCCATCTTTGGATTATGATGAGAACTGAATGATATCATGGAGAATGTAATGTGACTTCAAATACATCTACAATGACATTTTAAAATTATTTGGGGTTTGGAATCCTGAGGAAAAACTAGATATTTTCATGTCTGAAATATTTCAATCAATTCAACTTATCAAATCATATAATACTTTCAGTTGTTTCTATGATTATTACCAGCCTTGACTAATTAAAAACTAGGCTCTGAAAAGCAGAACACATGAAGTTTTATGTAAGCTTCATTATAGTTTAATCATATTAACTTGAGCAAGTTACTTAAATATGTCTCAGTCCTCTATGAGGTAAAACTCCTATGCTACATCACAGTGAAAGTATAAAGAATGTGGTTTAGAATTTTAGAACTGAAATATATGAATATATATTTAAAAATGGACAACACATTCTTAAGGACCAAGAAACTGCCAAAATTACTACATGGATTATTTATTGTGTACATTTTCTTAATAGTTTATTGGCTAAGCAATAGAGCTGCCTAACAAGATTTTCCATGAACTGAATATTTTAAGTAAATCCTACATCCACACTGTTAATCTTTTCAAGTTCACAAACACTTATGATGTCATCTACAGTTCACTTTAAAACAGCATTTCAAGTATGAAGAATAAGGAAAAAACATTTAACAGTCCAAAGAGGAATATACTATAACTCAGTGGGTTTCCTGTGAGCAGGAACCTTGTTTCACTATTTCAGCACCCTGAGCTATAGCTATCTACACAGTAGGCATTCAGTGAGTAGCTATTGAATTGAAACTGAGAGCTAAACTCTGTCTATATGTGATAAGAACAGAGTGAAAAAGAGCTGAACTAGGAAGTCCTCTTCAATATCTCTCCACAGGATCCCCCATGGGAAAGAAGCCACAAAAAAACCAAAAAAAAAAAAAAAAAAACAGAAGAAAAAAAATGTTCCATTTAGACACTGTTGAGTATAAAAGAGCTAGAAACATCATGCTACACAAATTTTTTAAGTAAGTGACAGTTCACTGGAAAATGATCTGAACTACTGAATGAGTGAACTTTGAAAATATTTTCATTTTACCTTACGGTTTCCCAAAACACAAAAGGCCGTAGTTAATCAGAGACCATTCATATCATTTAACTTTTCTATGTAGCAGGTCCCAAATATACAGTGAACCTAAATAAAGAATTGTAATATTGTCAGTGGAAATGAATTCAATCTTTTAAAAAATGTTCCCCTTTGAGGACACAGAATATAAATCATTACCTGAATGTCCTTTTCAATAATAAACTAAAAACTCAAACATTTTATTTAAAAATATTTTAAAACATTAAACTAGGAATGAATAAAGAATAAAAGAAATGAGCATGTGTAATAAAAGAAGAAAAGGGTGTTATTCACATATCACAGAGCTATTAAAAATAAGCGAATGGGTTAAGTAGGCCACTTTGAGGTCATGCCCTAACAGCCATTAGTTGCCTGCTACCCACCGGTGGGGTAATTTAACAGTTCAAAACTCTAAATTCTGGAAGATTCCATCTTAGCTGCATATAACACTCTACTATATGACCAATGAGTAAAACTCTATTAAATAGTACTTAACTCTGGATAAAATGATTTTTCCAATACACCGTTGGTTTTAAATGGTTCAACAATCATACAAACGTGTATTTTGGATTCATGCTGAATAAAATAAAAATGCCTAAGACAACTAATTGGAGGATTTCAGACACATTTTATGCCCATTTCTAACAAAAGGTACCAGCATATTAAGTAAGTTGTATATTAGTTAGTTTTAGACCAAATTAACTTAATAAGAATAGCACTGTTGAATTTATGTAGCATGATTTATTCAAGAACCTGCTAGCAATTTGTGAATACTTACATTCATAGTTTTCTTTCCTTAAGTGTTATATTTATAAAGGTGATCACATACTCCTTGCTGGAAACTTTAAAAGGTATCTTTAGATTGGTTTCTAGTGAGTAATAATTCATGTCACATTTTAGAATGCTTAAATCATGACAAAAAATCATATTCCATTGTGAGTCACTTTTAAGAGAACATTAAAATGCAACATTTCTTACATTTTTTTCTAGTTCACCCATTGGACATGAAACTTTCCCAAACTGGGATTATGATATACCTTTTTGGACTTTTTTCAAGGCCTCACACATGTCATGGTACATATCAATACCCATTAGTAATTTATTAGATTAAATTGAATATGCGGATTATCAATCTTCAGCATATAATATTCTATAACTGTATTAACAACGTTTGAGAAAATTCCACATATTAAGTGAATATTTTATACTGTGTGATTTTTATCATTATAATTCATTATATTTTATAGACAAGTACTAAAGGAAAACCTACATCAGGATGATAGAAATCACTTCAAGTATCCCTTGGCTATGTAATTCTCAATGTATAACATTTACACTCATAAGACTTTAGCCAAGACAAACACTGCACACATTTAAAAGTTTTTAAAATGTATTTAATCTCCAACCAGTAAGTTTCATTTCCTAACTTAAATCCATGTCACTGATGTGACAGGATTTCAACAACCACGGGGTGTCAGCCTTCATTTTCCTTAGCCTCAGTGCATGTGCTTTCCACCCAAGTATCCCACTTAATTCCTATAGGAAGTTGAGATGTGTCAGTACAATAAGCCAAGTTCTACCTATGGGAAGATGTACTTAAGAACTCTACCCATAAGGCCTTTGATCCAGTATTGAATTTTATTTTGCTGTCTGTTGCCTGAGAGTAGACTACTTCCTCTGTTTCTAACTTTGTTCTTTAAGGTTACCCACACAAACACTGCTACTTTCAGACTTCTGCAACAGGCTTGCTCTCTGCACATTGTCCACTTAGTCCTGTGCTAATTGCTTACTCTGCTTTACTCCTATTGCTTTCTCCAAAGCTGGTCACTAACAGGACTGACTCATGCAATCTGCTAGCCATGTTTTTTTCAGTTGAAATCTCTACTTCCCCCAAGGATCAGAATCAGGACAAGGATTTGAAGCTTCAGTGAGGACAACTTTGTTTTTTACATACTAGAATAATTTTTCTACTACTTAGATCTGTACCCTAATAAATCAGATAGGAAAACTAAGTCAAATAAACTATAAGAAAGCTTACAAAAAGGATCAGAAGTCTAAGACTTAACACTTGTCAGATGTTATACTTTGTATCTTGAGCTGTGTGATGAAAATATGCCATTAGATATTGCAAAAGAGGCAAGATGAAGACTCTTATTCTTATTATCAAAATGTTATTTTATTTGTTGGTAGCTCCATACAATCTTATTGGATATATTAAAATCAGTATGTGTCATTTGTAATAGTACAAATTGCCAGGAAAAAAAAATAAGATTTGTATTACAGACAGAATAAAATATCAAACAAGCAAATCCTTTTCTGTTTTGTTCTTTCACAGTCATACAACATAAAACAATCTAAATCAATCTTCTGGAAAATTGGTAAAGACAACCATTGCTCCAGAGCTCCTATTTGGTATTCCAAGTTTCAGCCTGGACCGAATTTTTACTGAAACCATAGTAAATGGAGTTTTAAAATAGAAATGCAAACAGAACCTAAGCAATACATCTGGAAACTGTGTTACTATTTGAAGACAGTTTTTCAGTAATAGAATTTCAGTTTTTACACCCTAGTATTTCTATGTTTAGTATTGTAGTTTTATGAGAGAAGACTGTTAACAGATAGTCATCAAAATTAATTAACTACAAAATTCTAATACCCATTTTCAAGAGACTTACAGAGACAAAATATTTCCTCTCCATCCCCTACAAATAAAAGTTTGTGAATATTTTGTTTCCTTCTTCAAAACACAGTATTTCCCTAGGTGTTTGTCACATTACAGTTTTTATTTTTCTTGAGAAAATATATTTTGGTATTTGATAGCGTTCACAATTTGATACCACTCACTACTGGCCTGGATCCGTAGAACAAGAAAATGATATGGTATTTGAACCATAACAATTTTTGTAAGCCCTCATTCTTTTTAACAACCTACAATATATTGGTCTCCTCATAGACATATGAAATTCATTTTTTATATCTAACTATAAAACCATCACCATATGTAGCCATGTGGTATAACTCTCATGTAGCATTTATATCAAAGAGACAAGAAGATTATATGTCATGCTATTATGGAAATGCATACACAAAGGTAGATTGGGAATCAAAAACATCTGCCTTCATTAGATAGAGAAACCAGCCCTTGTTATTTATAATCTGCCTTGTAATTTTACAGAATCCCATATTCTGTGAAAGCCTTCAGTTGGCATTTACAACACAGGAAGGGAAAATGACTCCAGACTACATTGTGTACAATTCTAATAATCCCGAAGTTGTACCTTCTACAGCCTGAAATTTGGATTAAATTTTTCACAGTTCTGTTTTCACTAAGGTAATAACATAATTATTTAATGAAATAAACAACTTCTTAGAGTACACAAACTGAAAATCCAGGCACTTGTTGTACAATTAAGAAACTGTTCTCTTTTATATTTTTAAAACGTAGGCATAAGAATAAAAATATTAAAATAATATAAATTTTATTAACAATAGTCCATAATTTTCTATGAAATGAGTTTAATATTTTTCATTGCCAATATATTTTTGCTACGGAAAGTTTCACCACTTGATCTTGCTTCCTTCCCTCAGTTTCCCCACTTCTTACTAATATTTCCCTTTTGGGGATGAAGGAGGTGAGTGTGAATTTTCCACAAATAAAATATTATCTTTAAAAAATTAGCAAATTACTGATTATAATGAATATTGTTTCTAATATCTCACATACATCAAAAATTCAATGTGAAAGTGATGAGTAATAAAAATTTTAAAAATTATCATTTACTATATAGAATTTGAAGAATGACATCCTACTTTTTAAATTTAATTTAATTTTATTTTTTTGAGATGAATTTCACTCACTCTGTCACCCAGGCTGGAGTGCAGTGGCACAATCTCAGCCCACTGCAACCTCTGCCTCCCTGGTTCCAGCGATTCTCCTGTCTCAGCCTCCCCAGTAGCTGGGATAACAGGCACACACCACCATGCCTGACTAATTTTCCTATTTTTAGTAGAGACGAAGTTTCACCAGGTTGGCCAGGCTGGTCTTAAATTCCTGACCTTAAGTGATCTGCCTGCCTTGGCTTCCCAAAGTGCTGGGACCACCAGCTCAGCCACCACGTTTGGCTGACATCCTACTTTTTGAAGTATTTTCTATGATGTTGAATTTTCTTTCTTTAAATGATTTATTTTTCTTTATCACAGAGTGATCTGAATTGGTTTTTAACAATTCTATTTATACTAAGTTACATGTTAACATTTAGTAGTTTTGTTAATGCTATGGTTTGAATGTCTCCTCCAAAGCTCACATTGAAATTTAATAGCCATTGTAACAGTATTAAGAGGTTGGCCCTTTAAAGAGTGATTAAGTCATGAGGGCTCTTCCTTATGGAGCATTTTAATGACTTTAACAAAGAAGTTTTGGGAAGTGCCCTTTTACCTTCTGCCATGATACAGCACAAAGACCCTTGCCAGATGCCAGCACCATGTTCTTACACTTCAGCCTCCAGAACCATGAGCCAAGTGAATTTCTAGTGTTTGTAAATTACCCAGTCTGTGGTATTTTGTTATAGCAACATGCAATAGACTAAGACAGTCAATGTATAAAAAAATTCATGACATTCAAATTGATAAGAAGTTTTAGCAAAAGGCACAAAAAAGAAGTGTAAAAACGAGAGACAGCATATCTTAATACTTAATACCACAACTAAACCATAAAATTTTGGAAAATTTAAGCATATTTATCTTGTGATATATAGTACTGAATGTATCTAAATTATATATATATAATGTATAAATATAAACATAAATTTATATAAAGTATAAATATAAATACAATAATATGTATACATTGTATGTATGAATAAATATATAGATAAGTGAGAAGGGCAGTTTAAGATGGAATAGGACAAAAAGCCAATGCAAAATTAAAATTATTGAAGTTGCAACTCCTGGGGCAAATGAAAGTGACTGATGAAAGGTAATTTGATAAACATCTTTTATAAATGAGTATAATAAAGGCTTTTTTTTTTAGTAATTCACATAAGAAATGTTCCAAAACTTACCAAAAACATTGGAAAAAATATACATCAAATTAGACACATGTGAAATTCACAATAAAAGAACACATTGTGTTTTATTAAATATAATGGTTCAGCAGTAACTGTGAATTCCTACTTTGTAGCTAGGTTGAAATGAGATATACTGTGGAGGTGACTTCTGAAACCCAGAGAGAAAGCTCTGAACACACACTGCTCTTACTAATTCTCAAGAGGGAAATCCATAGTGTGATATGTACTGCTTCAAAGTCTTCTGTACTTGCTGACTCCACCACTGTCATATGAATCTTTGAGATCTAGACTTACAGGCTTTGAGCTTGACTTGGCCTTGGTCACATAGGCAGCCCAACAACCAGCTTACACTGTAGAAAAGATGCTGGCTCTCTCTTAGGGAGCTTTCACTGAGGTAATGGGGACAGTATGAAAGAAAGATTGTATAAAATAGTCTTCCAATGCAGGAGAGAATAAGAAAAATACACGATTTGAAAATAATTGGCTAATAAACTGTATTTTGTTTGTATATTCCACAACATATTTTGAATAGCCACACCACCATGCAAATATTTTGGGGAATTTTCCAACTGGACAAAAGAAAATGCCATTTAAAAATTTCTTAAAGAACTGGATGCCTACCAACCATGTGCTCAATACAAGGGCAGTAGATAAACCTAATGTCTCATCAAAGATGGATATAGGAAAACCATCATCACATAGAGGAAAAATCACATGATGATGATGATGATGATGACAACGATAGAGTAATGTTAATTTATGGAGTATGCACTATCTGACAAAACATTTGCTAAGTGTTTATATAGATTTTTCTACCTTTTATCTTCACAATAGCTCATTGAGACTTACACTAGCATTATTTCTCTTCTAAAGATGAGAAACCTAAACATCAGAGAGGTTCAGTAACTCACCCAAAGTTACATAGATAATATATATCTGAGCACAGATGAGTGTTCAGGCAGTCTGACTCTAGAGCCTATAGATCTCTTAAATATTATATTCAAGTAACTTCCTAGCTAATAATTACTAATCCTCATATTCAATCTGTTAGAAAAACTGTGAATGGTATCTTATTAAATATAAGGCTGATGATAGACTAACCAGACTTAAAAAACATTTAGTGGTTTTGATGTGCATTTCTCTAATGATTAGTGATGTTGAGCATTTTTCAATATATGTTTTGGCCATGTGCATATCTTATTTTGAAAACTGTCTGTTCATGTTTTACCCACTTTTTAATGGGGTTGTTTATTCATGTAAATTTAAGTTCCTTATAGTTGCTGGATATTAGACCTTTGTCAGATGCATAGTTTGCAAGCATTTTATCCCATTCTGTAGGTTGTCTGTTCACTCTGTTGTTTCTTTTACTGTACAGAAGCTCTTAAGTTTAATTAGATCTCATTTGTCAACTTTTGCTTTTGTTGTGATTGCTTTTGGCATCTTCATCAGGAAATCTCTGTCAGTTCCTATGTCTGGAATATTATTGCCTATGTTGTCTTCCAGAGTTTTTATAGTTTTGGGTTTTACATTTAAGCCTTTAATCCATCTTGAGTTGATTTTTTTGTATATGGTATAAGAAGGAGAGTGTGAATTAGTTCAATCATTGTGCAAAGCAATGTGAGGATTCCTCAAAGAGCTAAAAACAGAACTATCATTCAACCCAGCAATCCCATTATGGGCTATATACCCAAAGGAATAGAAATCATTCTACCATAAAGACATATGCATACATTTTGTTCATTGTAGCACTATTCACAATAGCAAAGACATGGAATTAACCTAAATGTCCATCATTGGTAGAATGGATAAAGAAAATGTGGTACATATATACTATGGAATATTACACAGCCATACAAAAGAAGATCATGTCCTTTGCAGGATCATGGATGGAGTTGAAGGCTATCATCCTTAGCAAACTAGTACAGGACAGAAAACAAAATACAGCATTTTCTCACTTATAAATGGGAGCTAAATGATGAGAACACACAGACACAAAGAAGGGAACAGACACTAGGGCCTACCTGAGGATGGAGGATGGGAGGAAGGAGAAATCAGGAAAAAATAATTAGTGGGTGCTAGGCTCAAGACTTTGGTGGCAAAATAATTAGTACAACAAATCTCCATGACACAAGTATACCCATATAACAAATCTGCACATGTACCCTGAACCTAAAGTAAAAGTTAAAAAAAAAAAATCATCATCAACAACAACAAAAAGTTAGTTAGCCCAAACAAGCTAAATGAATCTTTGTCTATGCATCTACCTATTCAAGATATATAAGGAATTTTACCAAGCAGAAAATACCAAGTCAGTGCTGCATTTTGAAGTGATCAGAATTGTTTCTAATGAGCCCAGGAGATCTTATGTTATAGTAAGAAGTTAACAGTATAAAAGTAATCTCCTGCCATACACATTGGGATTGGCAGTGGTAGATTATATTCGAGAAGGTTCAGAACTCACAACTAAAATCTAGGCAGATAGGGCAGGGCGCGGTGGCTCACGCCTGTAATCCCAGCACTTTGGGAGGCCAAGGCGGGAGGATCACGAGGTCAGGAGATCAATACCGTCCTGGCTAACATGGTGAAACTCCGTCTCTACTAAAAATACAAAAAATTAGCCAGGCCCCGTGGTGGCGGGCACCTGTAGTCCCAGCTACTTGGGAGGCTGAGGGAAGAGAATGGCGTGAACCCAGGATGCAGAGCTTGCCGTGAGCCGAGATCGCGCCACTGCACTCCAGCCTGATAGACAGAGTGAGACTCCATCTCAAAATAATAATAATAATAACAATATAAAAAATGTAGGCAGATAAAGGAAACAAGAACTTTAACAGCAATGAATCACGAGCATGGTGGTTGTACAGAGCTCTGTTAGAAGTATCTGAGACCCCACAAAAATTAGGAAAGTTGAAATCCCATATGAGATCTATGGGACCACCTGTGATTAATTCACCTAGAAATTAGGGATTGGGCTAAGAACTAATACATTTATAAACCATTTAATTGTAAAACAAAAGGGAATTTGAGGGTAATATTAATGTCTCCTGTCATCACACATCGTATCTGAAAAAATACCTTCCTGCTAAAAATGAATGGAACGAAGCTGACTACTTTTCTAAAAAAAAAAGTTTTATTCCATATTTAAATTCAGTAAGTAATTGCTTAGTGAAGGGCTGTCATGTGACCAGATTCAGCCAAAAAAAAGTGAGTAAAGTGACATATTTCACTTCATTGCCGAGCTTTAAGAAGTTAGTAGAGCTTCTGTCGAGTTAGCTGAACTAGTGAGGTTAGCATTACCATAACAGACAAAAATGAATTAAATAAAAAGTAAATGGGAAGCATGAAAAATACAATTTATCATAAAAGGGATATCATTCTTAAAATATTACTATAGAATTTGCTACAAAAAAACAGAAAAATATAATAAAAATGTTTAAATCCTCAATATGCTGTAAGAAGATATAAACTCCAATAAAAAAGCAGAAAGACACATAGAAAAATTAATCTGAAATATTACAATAAACGATCCAATTAAAAATGGAGATGAAGATAAAGGTGCAAAAGAATTCAAGTCCAAACTCAAAGCAGTCAAAGCTATGTAAATGCAGTGCAAAATGGAAACAATGATTTCGTTAACCAACTTGAGATAGCTCAGAAAGCAGAAGATAAGGTAGTACATACAAGAGAAGGGAAAGATTACACACAAACACAAATTATTGAGAAAAATAACACTATGACAACAGAATTGAAGGCATATTAGTAGCATAATTTCTGTGGCTAAAAGTCACTTGTGTTTTCATTAGAATAGTTATTAAATCTCAAAAACAAAGGAGTAATTTCATCACAACTTTGAGGACAAAAATTTCATAACCAACCAATTTATCTTCCACATGATATTGCAATAGAAAATCGTTAGACATTCAAGGCCTCAGAAAAATATTACCTATTTACCTAAGAAATTCATTAGGCAATCAAGATAACAGGCTGTCAATTATAGGTAAGAATTGATGTGCTCTCATCATTCTAGTGAAAGTCGTTTCTGTTTTAACCAAAATTTGTATGAAGAAAACTGTCATCATAGATTTATAATAATGCAAAAGTATAAATAAATATCCAACATTATAATTTTAATGGAACATTAGAAAGCTTTCATATTATAAGCCTGAAAACTTTTATAATAGGAAAATAATACAACTTTAATTGAAAATAGAACAGAAGGATGTAAAATAAAATGTTCAATATGGTATCTATTCTATAATAAAATAGAAAATGTATCTAACGGATTGATGAAATTTGGGACTCTTTTCTTGCTTCTTTGAGCTTTTCTGAATTTTTAAATTTTTATCAGCTAAGTTAATTACATCTATCTATTTTTAAAATGTTACACTGAGAAGATATAAAATAAAAATCACAAATTATATTGTTGGTACCTTAATAATAAGGTACTATTGAAATTGACTATTTGAAGCTGTAGAGCTGATTCACTTGTTTAGACTGTGTTTTAGCAAGAAACGTGGCCTAAGATCTCATTTTAAAATGTGAAAGTAAGGCAAGGTGGAAATAGATGAGGCTCCAGAAAATACAAGAAAAAGGAAAAGGAAGTGGTGATTATATCAATCACGTGAAGGTCTTCTTATACTTGCCGATTCACTGTTTTTATCACTATTCAAGATCAGATACCAATTTTCTGAAGAAGTGTACAATGCTATTTAAACGGCCCATAAAATAAGCATAATTTAAAAATTTTCAAAGTATTTCTTCTTGTAGCACTAAATGCTTAAGTTCTTATGATAAAATAATAACATTCACTATGCTTGATTTACATATTACACAGATGTAGATATTCATTACAGCTTCTCCATATTTTGAAAAATAAATTCTTTTTAAAATATTTATTGTTTATCTAAGAAACATTCCTTTCAAACAAAATACATTTACTTTTGAGACTGGCAACAGCATAAATGTTCTCATCTGTGGTAGAGGTCATAATATTATGGGAAATATTTCCACGATAAAATAATATACAATCAATATATTCTTTATATATTTATTTATGAGGATTAGGAAGAAAACAGTCTTTAAGACATATAGGAGCACACAATAAATGTGACAGACTTGAGTGATGACATAATACTGTTTTGTCTGTGATGGTGACACAAAACAGCAAAGGACACAAAACTGTCAGTCTTGTTGTTTATCTTCTATCTCAAACTAATAAAAGAAGGAAGGTGATTGACGGCAAGTAGACATAGACACTGTCTTAGACATACAGTTGTTACGTTTTACACATACATAAAAGTACTATCTTGAGGGTTTTAAAGATGCTTTACTTCTCTAACTTTCTAAGATGTTGTCTTTGCCTAAAAATAATAATAAGGGAATTTATAGTATGATTATACTAAATGTTATATATTATCCCTCTTAGAAATGACTACTTTTTTCATAATTTGTGAAATTCATGCTGTTATTCATTCTACTAGAACTTATCCTGTTAAAAAATTGCACACACTTGAACCTATAAGAAATGACTACTTCTTAATATACTATCTGTATAGCATGAATGCACGTTTGTGCATGTGTGTATGTGTTATATGTGTGTTTGCGTATGTGTGTATGTATATGTACAATAAATATTTATGTGTTCAGATAGAGAGAGAGTAGGGCAGTCATGGTGAAAGTAGAAAGAGAATAATGGGGACAAATGGAGAAAAAAACCAGAAGAACACGTAAAATTGAATTCTTTTTTATAATATATATTTTTTTCAAATACATAAATTATTAATTAAAACATTCCTTCAAAACACTGAATATGTATAGAGGAAGTTCCAAAGAAGTACAAAGTGCCTGTACTGATTTTTAAGAGCTTGCAATTTATTTGAAGGAGACTAAACGTACAGATATAAAATACGTAGGTGATAATTGCAAAACAACATGAAAACAAGTGAATAATAATATGGCATAAAATTCACAAATCAGGGCTATGGAAGGAATGTAATTAAATAAGACTCCAATGAATCAAGAAAACTGTTCTAGAAACTTTGAATATGGAGTTAGGCCAGTGAGTGACTGAAACCTGCAGAAGGATTTTAAATGTCAAAAATTAGCTCCAATAAAAGAAAAGATGGACTCAGTTAACAGGGTGGGTAGGTCCAGAAAAGCTAATAGCATTTCAGCATGCACAAATATATGCTGATCTCTTGCCACCTACACTTATTTTACCTTTCTTAGTAAAATGTTAGTAATTACTGGTAGGCAAGCAAAATTTGTCCACTTCGGGGTTTTTCTTCTATCATTATTATTATTATTTTTTAAGATGGACTCTCACTCTGTCGCCCAGAAGAGTGCAATGGCGCCATGTGGGCTCACTGCAACCTCTGTCTCCTGGGTTCAAGTGTTTCTCCTGCCTCAGCCTCCCAAGTGGGGTTTCTCTTCTTACAGCTCCCTCTGTTCATAGTGTCCTAGCTACAAACCTCCCAGTTCCAAAATTCTATTTATTTTGAAAGGCTATCTATCTCATAGTTTTGCACGAAAATGTTGCTTTCCACTCTCACTGAAATGTCATATTTCTTGAAATTCTTTAAATATAGATCTCATTTCAGGTTTATCCATGTCTATGATTTATTATAGTTTTCTGTGATAATATTGTATCTATTGTAGTTTAAGTTCCGTAAAAGTAGTATCGTGCATTTATCTGCGTCCCTCTCACAGCTTAACTACCAGCTGTGACTTAACACAGCTTCAATCACAGTTTAGGCTCATAAAAATACAGAGATGGTTATAAGCTTTTCAAAAATTTTACAGTCATATTATCATTTGCAGAAATAAACTTTTTTTCCACATGTAAAATTTTCAAAAATGTTTCTCCTGAAAATGTCAGTGCAGTGCACTAAGTATTTATTTGTTTTTATTCCGTTTCGTATTTTACTAATAAACACTCATTCCATCAAGAAAAACTGATTCAGATGTATCAGGATTTCCTCATAAGTGGGTGCAGGAGTTCATATTTTTGCTCCATGCTTTCTTTGCAAACATATAATAATAAAAATATGAAGGAAAAAGCAACATACACACATTTTATTTGGAGGACCAATCTTTTAAATAAATAAAGTAAGCAGAGAAGAAGCAAATACAATGAAAACTACAGGTCTGCTTAGTTGCAGGTCTTAAGTTTGTTCCGAGGGAGTGAAAGAGACTTCAGTGCTCCCAGACAGAGACAGGAGCAGGCATAGAAAGTTCTTGAAGCCAGGGCCTGGAGTAAGCCTCTCCAGTTCTTTGAAGTAAGCTAAGAATAAAAATTCACACCACCTGGGCTGTGGCTTCAAACAGCTTGCAGGCCTGTAGCAGTGAGAACACAGACACAGCCTTATAAACAAGAACTGACCAAACTGCCTCTCTAACTGGATCACAGTGCCCTGCCTAAAATGTCTTGATTTAAAAAGTGGTTCTGGGCTGGGAGCCCAGGGAGTTAAGTGACTAGAGAGATTAAGATAATGTTCAACCTCAAGACTGGAAGAGTGAATACAGAGATGGGAAGTGAGAGTTGGAATAAAAAGGAGAAAGGCTAGAAAAAAGATAGCAAAAAGAAGAAAATTCTAGCTTCCAAGGAATATTCAAAGAAAATTGCATAAAAAATAATATTTTGTATCAGTTACATAAATAATCTAAAGTGTGTTTAAGATGCTTCCAGTGATAAACGAAGGAATAATTTCCATTGACATAAAGTAAGAAATTATAAAACAAATTTAAAAAGGTCAATATGTAAAGAAGTAATTTTAAATAGTATTAGAAAGTACAGTCACTTGAACTGTACTTGGAATTACTAAATTTGTTGCTGTTGTTGAGGAATTTACTAGCAAATCACTCAAAAAGACAAAGATATGTTACAAATAGGACAATAGTTGAGCAACCAGAGGCTAAGCTGACAGCCTCCAGTACATATAGATAAGAGTAAATCCAGCATAATGGAATGGTGTAGTAGTATCATTTCAATAAATAATTGCTGTAAATTTCCCAAAACTGAAGAAATACTTAAGAAGGGAAAGTTACAGGCAAATTCCTCATAAAGATAAATGCAAAGAATACTAATCAAAATATTTAGCAAACTGAATCCGTTGATGTAAATAAAAAGTAATTCATTCCTGCTGATTTGGGTTTAGTCCAGTAATGCAAGGTGTTTATAATTACAGAAAAAGTAATCAATGCATTTTGACATACTAACAAAATGAAGGAGGAAAAGCTTATAACTATCTTAAAGAAGGCATAAAAGTATTTTATAAAATTAATAACAATCATGATAAAACTCTTATAAAACTTGGAAGAAAAAGGAACTGGTGGTTTTACTTTTCATGCAGATGATCATTCCCATCATTCTCCTAGTTCCTGGACTCTCGTCCTAAGATCCCAGTCTCTACCCTTTCTCAGTCACTCTGTGGGTGTGCTCTTCACGTTTTCATAACCAATACACGCAGCCCTTCCATATTCCACACATGCTACTTGCTGACCACCAACTCCCACGTCTCCAGTCCACTCTCTCTGGGACTCAAATGCAACCAGAACATTTCATTCTTAGATGCTACTACACTTTCATTGTCATTCAAGCCTCACAAGTCCTCTTTTCTGATTTTATTTGGCTTAGATTTCATGATCCATTGAGCAAATATGTATTATCAAGTGCTGTTTAGGGGTTTTTGGTGGCACATTTGTGACCAAGATCACTTTCTGTTTCAATCATTTTTCGCTACTATAACAGAATACTGCAGGCTGGGTAATTTATAGAGAAAATGATGTATTTGGCTCATGGTACTGGATACTGAGAAGTCTAACATCAAAGTGCTAGTGTCTGCTGAAGGCCTTGTGCTGCATTATCCTGGGGCAGAAGAGCAGAAGGACAAGCAAGTGTGTGAGACAGAGAGAAAAAGAGAACCAAACTCCTGCAGTAATTAACCCACTCCTGTAATAAGGGCATTAATCCATTCAAGAGGGCAGAGCCCTCATGACTTAATCACCTCTTAAAGGCCTCATCTCCCAATGCAATTACATTGGCAGTCACCTCTTAAAGGCCTCATCTCCCAATGCAGTGACATTGGCAATCACCTCTTAAAGGCCTTATCTCCCAATGCAATGACATTGGCAATTAAATAACCACATGATTTTGGAGGGGACATTCCAACCATAGCAATCCCTTACATTCCCTTTCAACTTCCTCATCTCCTCACTTACAAAGACCACATGTGAGTTAAACAGAATTCACTCTACTCCCCTATTCATGCCTATCACCTGCTTATAAAATGCTTTCATCTTATCTTAGTCATTCAAGGCCATCAATATGCTGACAATGCCTATATTTATGTCTCCAGACTATACCTATTTCTCAACCCATTACCCATACATTTAACTGACTTGACACCTCTACTGAATACCTAATAAGCAGTTCAGAATTAGCATGTCTGAAGCAGAGTTCTTGATAACATTTCCTCTCCTAACCAGCTCTTTCAGTCTTCCACATCTCAGTGAATAACTCTGTCATCTAGTCTTTCAGGTAAAAAAAAATTTGAGTTGTTCTTATGCCTCCATTTTTTCAATCACTAGAAAAGACATCATCCAATACTAGCAACTGTATAATCAACATTCAAATTCACCACCTATCACTGCCTCTGCTGCTTTCACTATGGACCAAGCCATTCTGATACCTTACCTGGGTTACTAAACATGTCACTCCATGTTAACTATACATTTCATCTTATAGTCAAAATAATCTAGTAAGAGTAGTTTGGCTCATATGCATTTTATAGAAAGAAAAAATTTGGTATCATTTATATGTGGCAATTAACAGGTTAATTAAAATTAATAATGCCAAAAAATGTGTTACTATGATTACCCTGGATAAAATAAACATTAATATAAATTTATGTTGTTTTCATTTGGGGAACTAATATTGTCACCATTGCTCACAATGTAGACTACGTTGGCACAAGCTCAGAAATATTCTGGAAATATAATTCAATTCTTGTAATTCAAAAACTTTTCCTAAGATTTTCATTTCAATGGTCTATGAAAAGTATACAACATAAAGGATACCAAACTGCTTAGAATCATCTAGTTAGAGAGATTCTACTCCTCTTATTAAGTTATTATAAAATTATATTTTCTTGATAAGCACTCAGAAATAAATAGCAGTGAAGTAATTAAAAGGAGAATAAGAAATATCCTAATTGAGAGGACCAAAATGGTCAGTGTCATACTGCTAAGTAAAATGGTGAAAGTGAATTCATTGATGTAACATGAGACATCATTAGCTAAAGAAAGTTTTGAGAATAAAATACACAGAATTATGATCAAAGTGATTTATCTGACCTTAGTGAAAATAGCTCTGAGAAGCAAGAATAACTTACATAAATAATTTTTTATTCACGATATTTATTAATAAAAATTATTGCAATTGTGTAGCATGGAGTAGATTGAATGAAAGGATGGAAGGGATGTCAATATGAGGTAAGTGATGAAGGTGAATACATGTTTTTGGTAATATATCAGGACATATTATATTAAATTTTCTTTTAAGTTATTTTTTATTAATTTATGATATTATTAGCTTTGAATGCTTTATCTTATTAAAAGAAATATAAATTATAAAAAATGCAAAATATTCTATCCACCCCCATATATTTTAATTTGGATGAGGCCAAGAACCATATGTGTCTTATTAATCATTATATCTTAGCACCTGACAAATAAATATTTGTTACATTGAATTTCTCTTATTACTATCACCATCAACAAATATCCACTGATTAAAATATAAGCTAATATGTTTAAGATTATATAACTTTTTTATCAAAAATTTGTATCTGCAGCCTATACCTACCCCCTGACCTCCAGGGGATGTACACAACTGCTCACTCCACATCTCCAGTTGCATGCATAACAGTCATCTCCAATTTAACATGTTTAAAACAGAATTTCCTGATTTTCCTTCTTGAATTTCTCCTCCTGAAATTTTCCCACTCCATTTTATGTCAACTTCATCCTTTCTCAAGCCATAAACCAGAAAGTCATTCTTAACTCTTATCTTTCTCTCAAATCCTACATCTAACAGTTAACAAATGCTTTTAGGTCTATTTCCAGTTACATATCAGGAATTACAAATTACAAATTCCTGATATGTAATTGGAAATAGACTGAAAAGCATTTCTCACTACCTATACTCCTAACACCATACTTCAAGCCACAAGTATTTCTCACCTGGATTTTTGAGACTCCTAACTGACCTTTCTGGTTACCTTCTATAGTCTATTCTCAACGCAACAGCCAGAGTGATCCTGCCAAAAACTAGCTTATGCTCAGACACTTTCAATGACCTCCTGTCCTGCTCACTGAAAACCCCAATATTCTTATAGTGATCCACTGCACTGGGCACAATTTGCCTCTTTCTTCCCATCACTTCTGTGACCTCATGTCACACTGCTGTCCCCCTAGCTCACTCTGCTTCAGACACATTGGCCTTGATGCTGTTCCTAGATGACAGAAGCTATATTCGCACCTCAGAGTGTGTGTACTTCATTTTGTGGTGCTTTCACCCCTGATAATCCACAAAATCGGCTTTCTCACTTCCTTTAAGACTCATCTGACCACCCTGATTGTTATAGTCTGAATGTTTGTGTCCCCCTTCCTCCAAATTTCATATGTGGAAACCCTAACTCCCAAGGTGATGGAATAAGGAAAGGATGACTTTTGGAGCTAGGATTCAGTCATAAGATCAGAGCTTTCGTGAATGGAATTCATGCCCTAATAGACCCTAAAAAACTCTGTTCTCTCTACCTCTCTACACAAGAAGATGGTGCTATCTATGCACCAGAAAGCAGGCCCTCACCAGAGACTGGAACTTGATCTTGGACTTGCCAGCCTCCAGAACTGTGAGAAATAAACTTCCGTTGTTTATAAGCCACTCAGTTTAAATTTTGTTATAGCAGCACAAATAGGACAAAGACACTAAATTTAGTATTGAAATTCCCATCAAATTACCTTATTCCTCTTTCTTGTTTTTTTTCCCTCCATATAGCAGATCACCAGATAACATAATGTAAATACATATTACCTATTATTTATCTTATTATATGTTCCCTTCAATAGTCTGTAGCCTCCATGTAATACAGGATTTTTGTTGTTTTTGTTTCCTTCTGTGCCTCCTATGTCCGTAAGAGTGTGTGGCACAAAATAAGTAACCAAGGAATATTTTTGAATGAATGAATGGATTTGCTACTAAGTATGTAAATAGTATCCATGAATATGTAATAAATCTTTTAAAATTATATAATGTTCAATCATGTTTCTACACTTCAAAATAAATTATATATAGATGTCACAGGCTCACAATATAACAACTGAAATGAGCTAAAGATATAATAGGTAAAAGATCGACTCAAATATTAACAAAAATAAGAATAGGTTATGTTTTCAAAATTTAACATGAGTGTATTAAATGGAAATGGGAAAAAATCTCACTTCAAGGAGAATGATGAAAAATCCACTTATGGAATAGAAACAATTAATATAAATAGAACAGTATTTCTTTAATTAATTTATAAGTTTGTCAAAATTCCAACCAAAATTCTACGATTTTTCTTTCAAAAATTTTTGCGAATGAGAACAACATAAAGACTGACATAAGGAGAACAAAGGAAATGTTTTAAGGTACTGTGAGGGCAATTAATACAGGTAGGTACTGCCCTAGCAAGGAAAGTTAGGAAAAGCACTCCTGAGACAGTATTGACCGAAATTAGATTTGGAGAAGGAAGACTAAGAGTCAACAAAGTGATAGTGTTTGAGGGTGGAGGATGAGTGTCTAGTGAGAGGAATTTGCAGAAATGTTTAATCACATAGGAAAATGATTACATCACTTAGAAAAGCACAGGATGGGCCAGGCACAGTGGCTCATGCCTGTAATCCCAGCACTTTGGGACGCCAAGACAGGTGGCTCACTTGAGGTCTGGAGTTTGAGGCCAGCCTGGCCAACATGGTGAAACCTCGTCTCTATTAAAAATACAAAAAATTAGCCTGGCGTGGTGACGCATGCCTGTAGTCCTAGCTACTTAAGAGGCTGAGGCAGGAGAATCGCTTGAACCCGGGAGGCAGAGGTTGCAGTGAGCCAAGATCGCACCACTGCACTCCAGCCTGGGTGACAGTGAGACTCCGTCTCAAAAAAAAAAAAAAAAAAAAAAAAAAGACAAAAAAAAGAAAAGCACAAGGTAGCTTGTATATATTTCCAGTTATGTTTACATACAGAAAGAAATACTAAAATGACAATAGGGTTAGTGTGTGAGTAATGGGTTGTGAATAACGTTTATTACTTTTTCATCATTTCTATACTTCTCAAATAGTATACAATGAGAATGTTTTGTAAAAAATGTCACAAAATGAAAAGGTTTGTGGCTGAGTCCTTCAAATATCTTCTCTTGTTTGAAGGTATTAAAAATTATAGCTCACACTGAGTTAAGCTCACTCATTTGGGATCTCAGGAGCATCCATTTGTTTACTAAACTATCATATAGGCTGTTTTGTTACTTTTTTTCTATATATCATGGTAGCAATAAGCCACTCCAAGCTAAGCTTTGGCACATGATTAATGTGTCAGCATGTAGGTGCTTTAGTGGCCTTTGGCATTCTATTGCTAAAAGTGAATTCAGCAAAGCCCAGCAACATGCATTTGCCAATCCTATAAAAATACAATATAAACTGTTGACCTGCCAGTGCATATAGCAGTGAGTAAAGTGTAATTGTATTCAACTCACGTACTTCAGGTAATAGAGGAGTAGTTTATTATCATTGCAGGTGCAGAAACCTGCCAACATTTCAGCCATCTGGGCTTCCTCCGGGCAGTATACAAGTAAAATATGTGAATGAGACATGTGAGTTGAATTCAGTTTTTCTCATTTTCTTTTTTCCTGTTATGGGCTCGAAAGAAACTGCTTTATATATTTTGCAAAAGTAATCTGCAATGTTAGTTTACTTTAGAAAGCCATCAACTTTTAGTAATTTAAGCCCATTAGTTTTCTCACTGAAGTGCTTGTGTCTGAATGATAATGGATGTTCAGATGGCATTTTATAACAAGAAAATTGTGTTAAATGTAATATAATCGGATAAACAAAGTTATAATTCCTCAAGGGTTAATGAACAATCTATCTTTTAACATGTTTCATCAAATGTGATATCAAGTCACAGAGATCCTATTCATTAGCAGTTAAGCATATGCTATCACAACTTATCAGAATATTTCACTTTTAGTAAAAGACACTAGACCGTCCCATAGCTAAAGGCAGAGATATTGTGTGAGGCTTCATACTACAATTTTACAGCCAAAACATGTTTACTTCACATCAATGAGTTGTCAGATTTGTCTCCACTGCTAACACAAAACTAAGTAAAATGATTAGGACTGAAAGTTAATGGTAGGGTCAATAGTCAGCTTATTATTATATTCCCCTGGTAACTCATTACCTGCAGTCACCCAAAATAAGGGAATTAAAATTAGATTTTTGTTTTGTTTTGCTCTGGATGGCAATGAAATTGTTAGTAAACAAAGATGTTTATTCTGTTTTTCTTTTTAATCTGCACTGCTGATGGTGGTAAAAATTCAATTCAATTAAATTTGAACTATTTTAATGATAAAGAAAACAATGACACCAACAGCTTCTCATAAAAATAGTGTTAAGTGCTAAGATCTAAGTTTGTGGAAACAGCTATTATAAGAACCAACTGCACTCTCTTACCACCAATTTGTTCTGCCTGTCCCTTTAAATGAACCAAGAACACCTACACAGTGAGCCTGGGAGTTACCCAACACTTTGGGAGGCTGAGGTGGGAGGATCACTTGAGCCCAGGTGTTCCAGGATACAGTGAGCTATGACGGCACCACTGCACTCCAGCCTGAGCAACAGAGTGAGACTCTATCTCTAAATAAATAAACAAATACACAAAGAGGATAAAAAGAGTTTATGGTAGGCACGGAGGACTCTGCCATAAGTATTCTCTAAACCTTCCCTGTTAAACCCAAGATTCCCTAGGTATTTCCTAGGGCTATTGGGACATTTTGACTAGTATCTTGACTCCCTGGCATGTGGTCCCTTAGCTTGTTTATTTTGACCCATCTTTGACCTCAACCTCTACAGTGAACTGAATGTTTCATTCTGTCCAAAAGCCATATGTTGAAATCCCAGCCTCCTAATGTGATGGTATTAGGAAGTAGGGCCTTTAGGTGATTAGAGTGGAACCCTTATGAATGGGATTAGCACCCTTATAAAAGAGACCTCAGAGAGTTATCTCACCCTTTTTGTGCAATGTGAGGATATAATGAAAAAACAGTGGTCTACAACCTGAAAGAGAACATCACTAGAACCCAACTATGCTGTTGCCCTGATTTTAAACTCCAAACTTCAAAAGAAATAAATAAATCTCTGTTGCTTGTAAGTAAATTAGTTTCTGACACTTTGTTATGGTAGACTGAACCAAGACAACATCCTTCAGAAAATGTTTTGCATGGTTTATCTCACAATGCTGATTTGCCCATCCTACCCCGACACAAAATGGGAGAAAATAACTTTTTACTTAATTTCCTAAGCAGTGACTCTTTATTTATCTTAAATGTGATTTTTAGGCAAGTTTTTGTTTTTACTATACTTATATAGACAAGCACAATGGGATAATTCTTCATTTTGTATTTCAGAAAATGGTACCAAGAGTTAATTCAATTGAACATTTTTCAACATATTATTTAATATCAAACTCTAAATTAGATCATTTTGCATTTTACCATTTCCAAACAATTCATTATTAAGCATAATATATTGATGCCTGTAATCCTTGACCATATTTCTGATAGTAATTTAACAGTATAGAACACAAAGAAAAGAAAATATTAAATAGCCTATGATGCTTCTGAAGAAAAATTGGGTAGCATATAGTTTGAGATAATCTATTGCTAAGGGAAAAGTGTTCAATCAACTTAGGTAATTAAATAAGTCATGCTTACAGCAGGTTTAGAGAAACTGGCCAAAATCCAATAGATCCGTTATGAAAAAGTACAGAGTACTTAACAAAATATGTGCTATTTTCCTTTAAAACAATTATTGAATGTGTGGTTCAGCACTTAAATAGAGATAAAATAGATTAACATAGATTTCTCAAAGGAATAAACCTAAAATATTTATGCAGTAGTAAACTAATAAGCTATATAGTAGAATAAATATGCTATTTTAAGTTATACAGTAGAATAAATACGCTATGTTTATAATATCTACCTAAGTGGAACTACACAAGCTTTATACTGCCTTACTGCCAATAACCACTAAACTCTAGCAAAAAGAAGAATCTCTTCATTGCTATAAATGGAAGGGTGCAGTTCCAAGAAATGTAGAAGAGGGTCAGGAAATTAAATAACGAGTATGAACTAATGCAATGCTGCATTGATTTCCATCTTAATTAACCTGCAAAAAGCGTATAATTAGTTAAGATTAAAATATTTTTTGGCCGGGCATGGTGGCTCACGCCTGTAATCCCAGCACTTTCGGAGGCCGAGGCAGGCTGATCACGAGGTCAGGAGATCGAGACCATCCTGGCTAACACAGTGAAACCCCGTCTCTACTAAAAATACAAACAATTAGCCAGGCATGGTGGCAGGCACCTGTAGTCCCAGCTACACAGGAGGCTGAGGCAGGAGAATGGCATGAACCCAGGAGGCGGAGCTTGCAGTGAGCTGAGATAATGCCACTGCACTCCAGCCTAGGCAACAGTGCGAAACTCCGTCTCAAAATATATATATATATATATATGTTTTATATATATATATATGTTTTATATATATATATGTTTTTTATATATATATAAATATAAATATATAAAAATAAACAATTCTTGACATTTTTACTGAAATAAATAATACTTTGTAAAACCGTCTTGAATAAATCTCACATTATGTCAAAAAGGGAAGATTGAAAATCTATATGACATATCACTGGATTAGAACCTGCTGGAATTTAATGTGAAATGTTTAATTAACAAGGGAAGAGCAGCGTCATGAGTGTGTAATGACATGCATATTTTATTTGTTAGGCTCCTCTGAAGGGCAGTGCATGGTACCCTCAAGAAATAGTTTAGAGGGTGGCTTGGGGTGAGGAGACAGACCAAAGGACAAGCTTGAGAGCAATAGGTGCTGATTTTACTGTGTTCTAGTGAGGGTGTTTCTTGCTCATTGCCGGCCACTTTGTTTGTTGGGCAGCAAATTGAGTGGGATAGGAAGGTAACAGATGGGACAAAACTGTGTAGTTCTGGAGAGTGGAGGAAAGGATGTTGTAGGAAGAGGGAAGAGGAGCCTGAAAATCAGTTGAAAATCTCTTGGGGTGTCATGGAAGGCAAGAGACCTTTGATGAGGTCTGATAAAAAGATTCCTGTGGGCATAAGGTGGAAACTTCTCCTTCTTACTATGGAATAAGTCAGTAAATTCTACATAATGCATTCAAAAGTAGAATATTCTGGGCCAATGTGGAGAGTTACTAAGGTATTCTCATTTAGGTTGTTAAATGGAAAATAAACAAGGAGGACAGGTGGAGATCTGAGTTAGAGACATGACACACATACCCGCATTATTTTTTTGTGTGGTTTTTAAATTTGTTTTATTATACTTTAAGTTCTGGGATACATATGCAGAACGTGCAGGCTTGTTACATAGGTATACACATGCTATATATGGTTTGCTGCACCCATCAACTCGTCATCTACATCAGGTATTTCTCCTAACGCTATCCCTCCCCTTGACCCCCAACCCCTGACAGGCCCTGGTGTGTGATGTTCCCCTCCATGTGTCCATGCGTTCTCTTTGTTCAACTCCCACTTATGAGTGAGAACATTTGGTGTTTGGTTTTCTGCTCCTCTGTTAGTTTGCTGAGAATTATGGTTTCCAGATTAATCAATGTCCCTGCAAAGGACATGAATTCATCCTTTTTTATGGCTGCATAGTATTCCATGGTGTATATGTGCCACATTTTCTTTATCCAGTCTATCATTGATGGGCATTTGGGTTGGTTCCAAGTCTTTGCTATTGTGAACAGTGCTGCAGTAAACATACGAGTGCATGTGTCTTTATAGTAGAATGAAATATAATCCTTTGGGTATATACCCAGTAGTGGGATTGCTGAGTCAAATGGGATTTAGAACACCCACATTATTTTTATAAGCACTTTTAGAGTGGTTGTGGAATACAGTGAAAGAATTCCAGTCTGCTATCTACTTACTGAATGGCCAGGATAAATAAGCAAGTAAGTACTTTCTACAGTGGTTTTTAGTTTTTAAAAAAGTTTATCTATAAAATAACATCATGTCTTACTATATCCTGGAAAAGAGGGAGTTCTGGAGTCAGCTGACCACGTATGCATCTGTCTCCTTTACTAAGCTGTAAAGTTTTTAATATGCGCTGGCTCATCATTACATCACCACAAAGCTCAGGACCATATCTTTTATATTTATACACCTAAACCTCTACTAAATATAAGAAGTAGGTTAGCTCATGAAAAAGTTAGCCCTTTAGTAATGACCCAGAAAATTCTATTCTGCCTTTTCCTAAAGTGGAACTTCAAGCACTGCACTATTTTGATTACTAATAACATTTATATATTATTTTAGTTTCCTTCTTTTTAAATTTTCTATTAAAGAGATCTAAATAAACTATTGTTTATTTTCTCATGATTTCTCTTAAACAATTACACAAGTATTTTTTTTTTTTCATCTCATGGAAGTTTCTAGTTTTGGTTTTATTTAAGAAGCATTTCATATTTCACTAAGTGGCTCACTTTCTCTTTTTCGAAGTATTACAAATTTATAAGTGGTATTAAAGGAAAGTAAACATGCATGTCATGGCCATTTTAATTATGACATTCTAGCAATTTAATAAACCAAGGTAAGATAATTATTAGTTTATTTTATAATTTGATACATTTAAGGCTTTGACATAATCTTTGCTTAATCGCCTATAATTTTGGATGTTTAAAAACTTAAAAACTGAAATACTTAAAATACATAAATATTCTATTCACTATTATTATTTCTTAGATGATCTGTCCCCCTTCTTCTTCTATTTGTGTTGTTGTTGTTGTTGTTTTTGTTGCTTCCCCCCACCCCTTGGTTTCTAATGCCTCTTTTAATATATATACAATGGTTATGTAGAAAATGTAAATTTCTTTCTGTCTATGATGTTTAATTGCTCTTTCTCAGCTGCTCAGTCATCTAGAACTTCTACTTATGGTTTTAATTACTGCTAATGTTCTAATGACAATGCTGGCAGGGAAAGAATTTTTTTAAGAAAGATTGTTTAAATCACTGTCCCAGCTGTGGTTTTAATAGTTGCTACCTATATCCAGGGATTTATGCTTAAGTTTTAAATACTATATTTTTATTCGTTTTAAAGTAAATATTTAAACATACATTTTATCTAAATGACAAACTTTTTAGATCAAAAGAGAATAATTATCAGCAGTTTACATCCATTAATTGATTCAGCAGAAAATTTATTGATTGAATGTTGTATGCCAGGTGCTGAGTTAGATGATGGGGCTACAAGGAGTGAACTTCCCAGAAAGAGTAAATCATCTGTAAGCAAATAAGTATAATTCAAAGTGTATAGGTTCTGTTCAAATATGTGCAAAGTATGATGATAATTAAATTTTAGCTAAAAAGAGTTGCAAAATACAATTTAGTTATAAAATGTTTTGCATGTCTCTTTTCTTTGGCTTTAACCTCTAAAATTATGTTTCTAGATTTACAGTGTCTTCACATTTGTGTATATTCTTGTCTCCATCCTTGTATACTGATACATTTTTTTCTTTCTCTCAATATTTCCTGTTAAATGTTTAAAAATAAAGTAAAATTCATGACTTTTTTGAAGACAGATTGTGGAACTATTCAACTCAACCAGTGTGTCTCACTTTAATACCCATGAATCAATGAGTATTTATTTAATGTCCACTAGAGTGTTACACATCTTAAAGGATCTGAAAGAAGATTAAGACAAGATCTTTGCTACCAGCTATCAGTCTTCTGGAGAGAGAAAAAAACAAATATACACATCTCATTAAAGTCTCTAATCCACTTATCTATTAATTCATGCATTCATGGAACAAACATTTATTGAGTGCCTATTATGTACTTGGAGCAGTTATAGGCACAGTATTTTATTTCCAAGAAAGCAGTGTAGAGGGGCCAAGTAGCATATAGATGGTATATTTAAAAAGTAAACATGCAGTAAATACTTAGTACTCTCTGTACAGAATAAATGAAAATCCAACTCATTACAGATTAGAAAAATTATATGTGGATGGAAAGAACAGTTATTTTAAAGGCATTTGCAGTAATACGGATAAGCCTCAGACCTCCAGATCCATGTAGGTACATAAAATTGCCATGTAGTTATATTACAAGAATCTCAAACTTAAGAAACAGTTAACATAAACCACTTAATTACTCAACCTCCTCTCCACCCAAACCCTTCCCACACACATTTGTTCTCCTTCATTCTTCATTAACTCACCAAATAGCATCCCCATCACCTAAGTTGTTCAAGATGAAAATCTTTGGTGTCTTTCTTTTCTTCATTTCTTATATACATAGATCTATAGATTCTACTTCTAAAATCTCTCTAGATTCTGTCTAGTTCTGAATATCCCATCTGCCACTACTCTGCTGAGTTTAGCTGTTATGTAGTTTTCTGGTCTCAGTTAAATGTAATTTTGAAGAGACACCAACATACACACTATAGTATCTAGTATGACAAAGTGTTTGATAGTAGAAAACTGATTTCAGTAAATTTATATTAAGCTGTGCTTATTCTCGGACTTAAATTCATGAAAAATGATAAAGTAACTGGAATAATACAATAAAAACATTTTTATTTTCTTTGTATTTTAAAAAGTGATACAAAATCTGGTCCTAAAAAGTGTTCTGGTTCCTAAGAGGAGATTTGAATTGTTTTACAGACCTCAAACATTAAAAGTGGCTGGACTTTCACCCTTGTTTGTAAAGTGATTTTACATGAAAAGACAAATAGTAGAACAACTGTGAGCAATTTAGGAAAAATCACTCTGACAGAGAATTCACAGCTGGAAAGATCTTCACCTTCTTATGCTTATTTCAATTAATCATGAGAAACAATTGTAAAATGTCACAACTGTCCTCTAGCCTCTAAATTTAAACAGGAAATAGCTCATTTAATTATAAATTTTCTTGCAAAACATATTCAAAAGCATATGTTTATTTTAAACTACACAATTAAAATGTTTTAGTGTGTCCTGTAAGATTTGGGGCATAAAATGACTCAAAAGTTTATAGTGGGGGAAAGACTTTGAGGGTTGCATTGGAAGTGCCATGTATCTAAATTTATGTGCAAGAGAGGACTACTCTCAACTGGATCAAATAATAAATAAGACCCTTCCTCCCAAAATAATTTTGAATGTCCCTCCCATTGCTACAGTGTGCTAGAGGTCTCGGCATCCAGTAAAGGACTGCAAAAACTCAGATTAGCAAGACAGAGTGACTATATTCCATTTACAGGCAACCAACCACGCACAAAACATATTGGAAGAAATCTTTGCTTTCACAAAGCTTACTCAAAACACTAAGATTAAACTTATAAAATAAACCCTTCAGCATTCGAAGATGCAACAGTAAGAACTTTATGCAAACAGGAATAACTCAGAGATAACAGATACCCACACACAGGCATAGAGTACAGAATACTCCAATCCACAAAGAGAAAGGAACGTCTTATGACAAGAATTGAGGCTGGGTGCGGTGGCTCACGCCTGTAATCCCAGCACTTTGGGAGGCCGAGGCGGGCGGATCAGGAGGTCAGGAAATCCAGACCATCCTTGCAAACATGGTGAAACCCCGTCTCTACTAAAAAAAAATACAAAAAATTATCCGAGCGTGGTGGCGGGCGCCTGTAGTCCCACCTACTCAGGAGGCTGAGGCAGGAGAATGGTGTGAACCCGGGAGGCGGAGCTTGCAGTGAGCCGAGATCGCGCCACTGCTCTCCAGCCTGGGCGACGGAGCGAGACTCTGTCTCAAAAAAAAAAAAAAAAAAAAAAAAAAAAGAATTGCAACAGACCAGAACAGAGAGCAGTTAGGTAGCCACACTGATCAAGTTTGCCTTGGTTTTTTATGTACCATAACTTGTTTTGCCGTAACTGGCAGGCACAGTGATAATAATCCTTTCGGCCCTTTTAAGGCAGATAGAGCCGCTGGACCTATAGTTTCCAGCCACAAGCAACCTTATTTATTTACACTAGTTTGCTGCCATATAAATATTGTCATTTTCTATCTGTGTCAAGACCTGAAAACATTTGAGAAGTATTGAGTTAACGAAGAGTAAAATATACTAAGTTTTCATTCCTTTTTACCAATTCTTTTATTCTTAACAGTTCTTTACGGTATCCTGAATTAAAAATACCTTCAGTTATATCGGTGTAAATTAGTGTGTCCCAAACTTTAACATCTGCCTGTTAAATCATTTTCTTGGTAATACTCTGTTTGCAAGAGTTTTTGAGAGCAAAGTCTCTGAGAAGCACTACATCTAATTTATTCATTGTACTTTTAAATCTAGCATTTACTAAATTTGAACACATCCTACCCCAGAGTATGGCTATTAAAGTCAAGCCCCAAAATATTCCACAATAAGAAGAAAAACAAACAAATAAATAATCTCCCTACCTTGGAAATTCTGGTGCTAAACACCAGGCGTGGCTTATATATGATGATTAATACTCAAAATGTGGTGTTCATGATAAGCTAGGCAGATAAATAACACAGAAAGCTGTTTTAACAGTTTATTTCTAATAAAATAAAAATGTAATTGTGTTACATTCACGATGTTAAATTAGGCGTGACTTTTGCCAAATTCTGAAGCTAGAAGTATTTTTTGGGAAAAGGTTATTTTGAAATTCCAGATATGTTTTACAAGAGAAAAGAATGGTGGTTTTTATTTAGAGTAATTCATTTTGGGCTAAAATTCTTCAGAAAATAGAAATAGCTAATTCAGTAAACAGTAGCATATATACGATTCCTAAGATAACAGTATTTGTTCAAATGGAGAACATCATGAGGTTATTATTGTTGAAACAATACAGTTCTAAGAAAGTATATAATCTTACTGACTTTTCATAATATTACTAAGACTGACAGTAATCAGTGAACTGGCCAATAGCATTTCCTGTGTATAAATACGAATTTGGCTCACATTTATGTAACACAACTGTGACAGAGGTGGCTTGCTGTCCTCCTGGAATCCAGGTTCCTTCTGCCATTCTCTGGAACTGTCTGTAGGAAGCACTGGCCCAGAGAAATATCATCCCACAGTTCCTTTTCATCTCTTTGGGCCATGTGAATAGTTTTTACTTATTGGAATATGAGAAGTATAGACTGCCCGGATTCATGTCTTGAATCTGCCAATTTGTTCAGATGTGTCAATTTAGTAAAAGTATTTAAATTTGTCGTAGCCTCAATTTTTTTCATCTGTAATACAGACTAAAAAAAAATCTGTTTCTAGTTTGTTTGTGATGAAATGAAGTAGACCAGTGCCTGACATGTAGTCAGTAACATGAAGTTGTTCATTAAATAAAACCAAAGGAAATATTTATCCATAATTTATTCCAGTTATTCTGTTGTATGCGTTTCTTAAATTCGGGTTCAGGGAAAAATCATTTAAAAGCATTATTTAGAAAAAATAGTAAAAATAAGATTTACTGTATTTTTTATTATGACTGAAAGTTAAGAACTCAAACCAAAGTGAACCATGTACTAACACAGGTAGTAACTTAAAGATTGCCAGAAAATAAAATGCAGTTATAATAAATATTTTATTGCATTAACACAATTATCTTAAATTAGTTTTTGCACAACTCATCAAACTCACTGAAAAATCAAATTCAGGTTTTTCACTTTTTTAAATTTTGATTATTTTATGGTTTAATTATCTCCTTCTCAAAATGTTATATTGCATACTACTAAGAGAAACATGAAATGCATCCAGCTAAATATACATTTTAAAATATAATAGGAGAAATAAGGAAAATAATAAAATCACACCCTAACCTTTTGTCCTTTAAGATTGGGGATGAGATATGATGAATCCAATACTGAGATAGCAATTATTGATAATTGGTGCATATACTAAAAATATACATTTTTTAAGTTGTAATGGAAGAATTATCTGAGATAAATACATTTTCTTGCTGATCTACTCAGTTTTTACTAACTCCCCCAGCCAATCCAGATAGTTCATTAGGTAATAGCTAATATGCAATGAGAAAAATGTTTCATAAGAGAAACAATCAACATTAATTAAAAAAATTATGAGTATAAAAAGAAAATTGACTATCGAATGATAAAAAATGTATTAATTCCATACAGAAAATTAAACAAGGTGGCAGTTATATGATTTATTTTTATCAAATAACTAATAAATTAAGTAACATAAGACATCCTAATACAAGACTAGAAAAAAATAGGTGGCTAGAACTGGTTCAGCCAAGGACGGCAGTAGATAAAAGCATATTTATATCTCTGAGTAGCAAATAATTGATAATCTAAACTTTACCTTCCTCAGAGTTATAGCCCTAAATTAATTAAAAATATAATTGCTTATCCATTAATGGGCCTTTTAAGGGATTCTGGCTTTCTTTAATGTCAACAATATGATAGAAGCCTATACCCACATCCTTGTTTGGCCAATTCTTCCACTCTTTCTGAGAACGATTTGACAGCTTCTAGTGTGCTAATAGGTACTCTAAAGCAAATATGTAGCTCATTAAAATAGAAATGATAGGAGATATTTTTGCATTTTAAGTAATTATTTCTCCAAGAACATTTTTAAGATTAAGTAATTTAAGTAATTTTAAGTAATAAAATCCACCATTGTACAAATTAACATTTCCCATCTGAAGCACTTGAAAACTTTAAAGCTTCAATTCTGATGCCGTATTTTTCTGAAATCTTGCCATGTGCTAATCACCGGGTAGCTGATTTCCTATGTGATCCCAGCAAATCTTACCTAGATCACTATGGTGAAAATGGTTGACTTTTTGAGATTCATGCAGATACCAAATTAATGGAAAACATATCATTGATGACTCATTGTTTTTGTTTTGTTTTACTTTGCTACTTAAGTGGATAAAAAGCCTCTTAGTGTGTTCTAGATTTTGTTGGTGATACTATGCTAACAAATCCATAAGGTGTATGAATTAGTACACTAGAGCAAAAGTTATTAACAGCCTGGCACACTGCTAATGTCAACATCATTACTGGTATTTGCCCTAAATTACATCAGTAGTTCCCTTGAAGCCCATGGTGCTGGTATGGAAAACACTGTGACTTGCAAATAATATTGATTCATAGTGCTTTGGCAGTGAAATTCAGCAGTCCTACCAATTAAGCAGATACCATCTTAATCCTACACTCATTTTGGTGGGGCTCTATGCTTGTCATCATATTCACTCAATGGCCAAAGGAAAAAATAGACGCAAAATCTTATATTTTAATTTATTTATTTAGACATGGTATCTTACTCTGTCACGCAGACTGGAGTACTGTGGCATGATCATAGCTCACTGCAGACTTGAACTCCTGGGCTCAAACAATCCTCCTGCCTCAGCCTCCCAATTACCTGGGACTACAGGCATGCACCACCACATCGGCTGATTTTTTTAATCTGTAGAGAGAGTTTGACTGTGTTACCTAGGCTGGTCTTAAACTCCTGGCTACATGCGATTGTCCTGCCTCAGCCTCTCATAGTGTGGGGATTACAGGTGTAAGCCACCACACATAGCCTTAATCTTGAAATATATTTTAATTTTTGCTTAACTGCAAATATTTGCATACCCTTAAAACTCAGCATTTTTGGCAATGTCTTTTCTGAATAACCTGACTCCTGACATGCAAACCCATGTGTTCTAGATATCGCCAACTTGGAGAGTTAGGAATTGGCATATAAGAAATTGAAACAACAAAAAAAATCTACCTCTTCCCAAGTGTTCCTCTATACAGCTCTGTTGCTCAGTCATTCTAGAGGACAGTGGGTATGTATCATATACTGACTGAATGATTAAGCAAATAAATGAAAGTTAGCTTTTCTAAATTAAGTATTTAGAAATAGAAATATTAAATGCAACGCTAGAAAATATTCCAAATAGTCATTTTTTTACTAAAAATGCAATAATCTCTCTATTAGTAAAAACCTTCTATTCTTATGACCCTGTGTGTTCTGAAGTTTGATACTTTATCTAAAATACATAAGAGTAATAACATTTCAGAATTCAAAGGGCTTTGCAGAACTTCTCTGAGTCTCTCCTATGAAAAGATTGGCCTGTGCTTTCTTTCTTTTATTTGGAATCCTCCTCTGTCCTGGAATATCCCAGGCAGACCCACCACCAACCCCAGTAGAACCCCAGCTCTATAGTCATTAAGAGTTTACTATGAACCCAAGGCCACCAGTGTAGCCCAATACCAGGACAGCACCAAATCTCAGAGCCACCACCACCAAAGCTTCCCTGAAGAAAACCAAATATTCCATTCAGATTTCTAAACACCATGTTAAAATTAATAGAGTTTCTTAAGATTTGTTTTATCATCTCTCATTTACATATAGTGTTGTAGTATTCTATAAGGCACGTATTGTGGATATAGGATTAATGATAGCCTTGAGGCCCACTCAAACATCCCGCTGGGCCTACATCCTGTGCCACTTAGCACATGATATAATCTGACATAATCTAACTTGGGGTATTCCAACTCTGGCCTGGGATTACCATGTCTTTATGACAATGAGACCTAAAAACTTTGGTTGCCCTACGGAGGAGGCCACCTCAGCACAGAGATTGTTCATGAATGAACAATCTTAAAGCTTCATGAATCTTAAAGCATAACTTTACAGGAATAGCTTAAACTTCCTTCATGAAAGAAACATCTGGTAAGTGATCTGGATTGAACATAGTTACAAGAAAGGAGAAGGAATCTTCCAAACTCTGAGAGTGGTCTCCGGAGGGAGACCTTCCCCGTGAGTTGGTCATCTGACTCCTGACTGAATCTGGCCCAGCCTATCAGCCTGTCCTGCTATCTATCTTGTGACTGGCCCGGGCTACCAGCCTGTCCTGCTATCTGTCTTGTGAGAGCCATGCCAGAATAAACTGCTTGGACATCAGATGGTGCCTACAAGTTTTTCTTTTCTTTTCTTTGCTCTTCTTTTTTTTTTTTTTTTTTTGTGACTAAG
Organism: Homo sapiens; assembly: GCF_000001405.40. Taxonomy (NCBI): domain Eukaryota; kingdom Metazoa; phylum Chordata; class Mammalia; order Primates; family Hominidae; genus Homo; species Homo sapiens. The sequence continues at coordinate 85,845,146 of NC_000003.12, read as the reverse complement.
TCTCAGTTTGTCACTCAGGCTGAAGTGCAGTGGCTCAATCATGGCTCACTCCAGCCTCAAACTCCTGGGCTCAAGTGAACCTCCTTGTATTAACCTCCCAAGTAGCTAGGACTACATGTGCATACCAACGTGCCTGGCTAATTTTTTTTTTCATTTTTGTAAAGATAGGCATCTCACTCTGTTGCCCATGCTGGTCTCAAACTCCTCGCTTTAACGTATCCTCCCACCCCAGCCTCCCAAAGTGCTGGTATTACAAGTGTGAGCCACCACGCCTGGACTAAAGCTCATTTTTTTACAGGAATTAGACTGAAGAAGAAAAGTCAACTCCAGAGAATCCAGTTAATTAAGATGACCTGACTGCTCCGAATGCAATATGTGTGTGTGTGTACACTCGTTACATATGGTATACATGTGTGTATTATTAATATACTAATATCAAGAATTATTAGGAGACTAGATTCACAATTAGAGGTATACATTTGGAACTTGCTTTTCAAATATGGTTATTTTATCTATAGCAATATAAGAAGAACAAATGATCTTAATCACTGATGAACTGAGTATTTACTTCAGAAAGTGTTGCACTTATATTGTTCCAAATATGACTGAACAGAAAGTTGCATTTGTTTCTAATGCATTACTCTCCTTTTCATTGTTTCTTTCTTCATTTTAGGGGTATATATTGTGCCTGTATCAATCCCCTTAAAGCTACAGCAGCAAATATGCCTTATATATTTCCTACGGAAATTTAAACATATTTTAAAAACACATTTTAAAAAAGGGTTTGTTTTTATTCCAAAAGAACTAAATAAAAAAATATTATAACAAAAAATTCAAAGTATGGTAAAATATAGAGAACTCTAAACTTAGTCCATCGAGCCCAACCTGTTCTTCATGATGACAAATTTGGTGATCTTTTCTAATTATCTATTATTCTATAATATTGAAAAAAGGTTCTCTGTAGATCAGAAATCTCTGATAGCTGGATTATCTCACATATTCTTCTCAAGAACTCTGTAAGGAAGATATTATTAAAATTATTATCTGTATTGGAGAGCTGAGAAAACTAAAGCTTAGAAAGCTTCAGTCCCCTATCAGATGAGATGCGGCTATGAAGAAGTGGTGCTGGGACCGATCCGTAAAGCCTGGCTACCGAACCCGAATTCTTAAACAGTCTGCACTCCCTGGGTGCTAGTAATATCTAAACTAAGAGCATCAGGTTTGTTTTTTTAGTAACCGCTCCCCCCCCACACACACATACACTCACATGAAACTGCACTTTCTGAAAAGATTTATAATAGAAATTCTTGCTCAAGTCTATTTGGAACATTGTCTAACATATTTGCATTAGAGTTTCTCCTGGTGTTTTAGCTTCTGTTGTTTACCTGGAGCATTAACGTGATCTTCAAATGCACTGCTGAGCTTGGAGAAAAGCCAGCTTAAACATGTATTAATGATAATCTTACATATAGTTAATTAACATTTTTATTTCTGTTTTACTCACATTTAATTAAAGTGATGAGAGAATATTGAATTAGATATTTATTACTATTGAAAATCAACATAATGGGATGGTTACAAAACCTCATATAAATATTTATTTGAGAAAAAATTTGTATTCCACCTTACTTTAAATAAAAAATATAAGACAAAGTTTGAAATATGTAGTTAATATCTTGCTTAATGATAAAAGTTAAAGAATCACCATATATCCTATTGTAACTTTCCACTAAAGAGAGAAAGAAAAGGTTGGGGGGCGGGGTTGGGTAGGAGGAAAGAGAGAGAGAGAAAGACCGTATTCTTAAAGACAAAGATACATTACTAAGGCTGGGGTTAGATGACGATGTTTCTGCTATTGATTCCCATGCACTTAAAGTCAGCAAAGAAAGCAAAATATTATCTAAATGAAATAAGATTTTTCAATTTCATAAATGGATTCTAAATATAATCTCAAAACTGAAAGAATCTTAGTTATTATTCCATGTTTTTCCAAAATGCATTTTTCAAAAGATGTGTCTAGTGTATCTAAGCACCATGGCAGCTTCCAAAGCCATGACAATGCTAAACATTTAATCATGGTTATACGGTTTCCTTTTTCTATTTCCTCTGCCAATATACATAGGTACTACTAGTATATAATTACAATTATTTATTTATGTTTTGCTTTTACCTGTAACTGGCAGTTATATGAATGCATGTCCACAATTGTGTATCTTTTTAAATATTTTTAATCTGCTCTCTAACGTATAGGAATCAATGCTAAATAACTTTTGTGTATAATATCTACTAATTTATGAATCTAATATCTAATGAATTTAATATAATTATTTATGAGACATAGATGTCTCCTATAAGAAGTTAACAGTAAGGGTAAAATCATGATAACTGAAAGAAAGACATAAGACTAAGTTTAATAAACAGATGAAAAGTTGAATTAAAATATAGGGGACACCCTCTCTTTATCCTCAATCCTAGATGAGATCTGCAGAGAAGGAAGCGGGTGTGGACATATGGCTTCCCTGCTTCCTAACCTTGCCAAGAAGACATGTGATGTTACCTCATCGGTAGGGAAGCTTTCTGAAGGAAGTTTAGATTTGAGATGAATTTAAGAGACTGTGGACAGGAAATTAATTGGCCCAAGAAGATAAGTCTCATTGATCCAAGTCTAGTTTTTCCATGAAGCTTTGACTGAAAAACTAAAAATGAAAAAAATAGCAGCTGTCCTGGTCTGAAATGGCAACATTTCTTGAAAGAGGGTTGAGGAAGACAGGCAAATATAACTTGCATTCAAGCAGAACATTTTATTTTCTCTATCACCTCAGCTGTTGTTCCTCATCTCCAGAGGCTGCCAGCCTCAGCCATTTGGGAAGCCACAGTGGATCTACTCTATTCAATCCTCTTGTGGGGATAGGTCATTAGACCAGCAGTGTGGGACCTCGCAGAACAGATTTTCCTTCTAGTGCTGATTTGTTTTACTCTGGAGCAATACACAAAGAAACTAATCACGAGAGTTCATGGTGAATGTTTTCTTGGTAGACTTTTTTAACCTCTGCAGCAGCCGCAGGATTGGAAAATTTATGCATTAAAGCAAATAATTTTTTTAAATGTAAAAGCATAACATACAAGTAATGTGAGCATGATAAAGGGGTTTGTTATAGAAAATAAAAATACATTAAAATTAGTTACAAGACAGAAACTATAATTTTACAAATCACAAGCCCTGAAATGTTTTTAATAATATTATAAGGGATTCTCAATAAAGGCATACCAAGGAAATTAGACAAATTACAGTCATTTGAAATTCAGTCACAGAAAGATATGATAAAATTTATGTTTCTCTGTTTAATATTAAATATTAAACAAAGAATAATGTTATATGCAGGCATCTCATTGCTATATAGCATATTTGTTGCTATATAGGTATGAATAAAGTCTGTTAATCCAAAGAAATATGTTTTTTGAACCTTAATTATGTGTGCTACAGATATTGTGTCCACTACTCGTCCACCCCAACAGCCACAAACCTGGATTGGTTGGGTAGAATTAAAACCCAAGGGTGAAAGAAACAAGCTATCAGACTTTAGTTTAAAACAAGTACTTCAGGACAAGCTGAAAACAGTGTGGACTCCCTTTGAATATAGGGAGTTTCCTCTAACAAGAATAGTAAACAAAATTTGAAAGAACATTTAGAATAATAATATGGAAATGAAAGTAATATCAGAAAGATGGTAGGACTAAATAAACTTTAAGCTTCTTAAAATATAGGGTTCATCTTTTTTAAGCAAGGTACTCTAAATTCATAAGGCACTGGGCTCGTGACTCCTCTCTACCTCTCTTATATTACACTACTCCTCTACCTCCCCATGCTACCTGATATGTAATTCTAGCCTGGCACTGAAAGTGTTTTTAAATATTCACCTAAAGGATACCATTACCCGTAATATTCAATTTTAAGTTTTGAAATTGTCAAATTTCTATCTGAAAAGTTTCATGTTATCAAGAGTTTATAATATAATATTGAATATAATCAATTCTCTAATTGGGCATTTACTTTTCTTCCACTGCCCTCCAATCATTCTGTAATATTGATTATTATATTATTATTTCAATTATTACAGTCTTATAAAGTGAGTTATAATATTGAATACTATAGACCAATTTAGAATCACTGGTATTTGAGTTCAGTAGTAATAAATATGATATGTAGTTACTTTCAGCTTATTTTTTGGGTTTTCTTTTTGGTGGTATTTAGAAGTTTTAAGTCCCTACATATGCCCAGTTTACAATTCAAGTCACATGAATAAATAAGAGTTAATGTTTCATTTCATATAAATTTATATAATTATTTTCAAAGTTCTATCCATATAATTAAAAAGCCATAAATATATCTTGCATGTTAAAATTGCATTAATTATGATATAGGCCACTGAAAAATACCTTGTAGCATTTTATCCTAAGGGATACTGCAAGTAACAGTTGGGTTCACTAACACAAAATGAACAATGGATTTCTGAAAAGAGAATACAGGTATTCTGTGTCATATAATTGAATACATGGAGTGTGAATCAGCTTATTTAATTGAATTGAGGGATCAATTAGAATCCTAGTTGTTTTAAATAAATCATTTAGCACCTTTAAAAGCTGAAAGTAAAATTATACAATATTTTTTAAATAATCAGAATTATAAGTATGTGAGTACATGAGAATATTCTTGATGCAAATAAAAAGGCTACATGTTACCACAATTTAGTATTGTAAGTCTTAGGTGACCGCTTTTGGTGAACACCACATTGTAAGTCATGGATATCCTCATAGAAACAAAGAAAGTAGGTGTTGTCATTTTTTTCTAAAAATGGAAGGAAAAACAGAAACATGGTTCAAAAACTAATTAAACTTGCTGCAACAGAAATGAAAGCATTTTGATGTACTTATTAAAGGGAAAATGCTGTGAAATTAACAGTAATCAAAAGCTAATTACAGTTGATGCAATAGGAGCAGTCAAAGAATGCTTGATAACATTTATTGAACTAAAAAACATGGCTGTCAAAAAAGGACGCATGTTGAATAAAATTCAAGTAATTACAGAAAAAAGCTGAAGGAGAGTGAACTGGTAAATTATATATCAAATAAAGAGAAACTTAAAGTATACAATTCTGAGTAGAATCTTTATTCTCGTTAATGAACATGTCCCTGTGAGAAATAAGACATGGCCAAAAAATGATGCTTTCACTTATTGTTCCTCTTTTATTACCCGTAATTATTCGGAACTCTCAGATGGCAATGATAAAATGGTTCTTTTTTACTGAATGAACTATTTTATAAGATCTGTAAAGAATACATAGCCATTTATTTAGTCTAACATGTGGTAACTAAATTCAGTATTTGCCTGAATAAGTAATATAAAGACATAGGATTTTGATGTTTTCTTTCTCACCATGAAATGGGTGACCCTGACTTTCATATTTGCAATTATGAGATATGACTGCCTTTCCTTTTTCAGTCCCACTTCCCCTCATCTTCCTGAATGCCAATTATATAGAAGGCTAAATTGTGTGCCTGAGGTAAGAAGTACACCAATTGCAATGTGCACTCATTGAGCTCTCTATCGTAGGCAGCAGAGTAGCTAGTACAAAGAAATAGTCCTAAGGTTAAAACCAAAAAAAATGGCAAAGAATAATAACCATATGTTTTTCATGTTTATTATTATGTGTGATTAGCCTTTTATGTAAGATCTAAGTACAGAGGAAAATATATAGACAGAGAGAGTATTATAAATATTACAAAATGGACAAGGGGATATAAAAATAGGAATTTTCATATATTTCAGAATAGTCATCTTTAACAGACTAGAGAAGAAATTATACTATTTCAATAACTAAAATGAGGGTTGACCTTGCCAGTAAAGCAAGGGAAAAAAATCGGAGCAGCTTTTTTATTCCTCTCAGGCCCTATGCTACACAGTGAGTTATAGACACCAGGTGAACAGCAATGTTAATTAGGGTACTACAGTCTTGGCTGTTAAATTTGCTTCAGGGAAGAATAGCTGTGACAAGTAGGCATTGTAATATTAAACCAAGGCTCTCAAATTTCCAAGCATATGTTAAAGAGAGGGGCTTGACAAAACACATGTTCTTCCCTCTCCATCCCACCTCAAGATTCTGATTCAGTAGGTCAGGCTAAGTCCAAAACATCTGAAATTTTAACAAGCACCCCTAAGTGAATTTGCAGTAAGAGGCTTTCAATTACATTTTGAGCTGTAGGTTATTATTTCCTTAAGGACAATAAACCTTTATTAACCTTTGAATCATCCAAGTCATTTTAGTTACTTTCATAATTCCCTCCCCATTCTATTATTGTAACTGGGTAAATAAAATCAATCTATGACTGGTATTTTATATATTGTATAAATATAAAAGATACAGTACAGAGTCAGTGAGAAGTAATTTAGTTAAATATCTGATGATTTTTTCAACCTTGGCTGCATATCAAACTCACTAAGGGGTTTTTAAAAATACTATTTAAAATTTCAAAACAAAACCAAAATGCAGAGATTAAGTTAAGGTCCTCCCCTCTCCTCCAAAAAAGTATATTATAACCAGAGCACCTCAAATAAAAATTTTGTAGAAAATAATTGTTAAAATTATTTTTGAGTGCATAATATGTGCTAATAAGCAGTTTATAAACTTACTCTTCACAACAGCTTCCAAGGTGGGTTGCACAAGGCTCTGTGTTTAGAAGAGCTCCAATCTCGGCTTCAAGCTCTGCCATCAGTGATTAATGCTCTGCTACTGCCAACTTGAAATTGGTCATGATGTTTGAGTAAGGGCCCTACATTTTTATTTTTTCTTGAGCCCACAGTTTATGTAGGTGGTCTTGACCTATGAGGTGAGTTTGATTTATGTTTCCTTTTAAAGATGCAGAAGATTCAAGCCCCTTGTTTAAATTCACATAGATTGCAAGTGATTTAATGTGATCCCACACACTGGACTTTAGCCCCAGTGATGGTTCTTTAACCACTATTAATAAGATAACCACTTAAAATTTGAGTTGAGTATGTATAGATGAAGTGATTCTAAAATATTGTTGTCAAAAACAAACAAACATTGAAGATAATCAAAATGACCAAATATTTCGTCTGATTTATGTATGGTAGTGATAATGCCCCAGTGAATTCATATTGGTGTGCTTATAACAGTAGAATATGCATTATAAGGGCTATGGAGGAAGCTACTGAATGGATAATTAGTATAAATGCAGCATACTTTTATCACAATATCTCAGGTAAATAATTTCCTAATACTACTTAGAATAGGAAGCAACACACTTTGATTATAATTTTTATCTTACAGTGGAGTTTAATTTTAGAAGTTATGTGTTATGGTAAAAATATACTCTAAATTAATATACCTGCAGAATAGTAACAGAGTACAGCTCTTTTAAGCAGTATATTGTTTGTCAGAGTTCATGTAGATATTTTCAAGAAAAGATTCTTGTTCTAGCCCAAAATTCTCATGTGTATTGAACGTCAAAAATGATTGCTGAAGCATGTCAGTCAGTTCCAAAGAATGATGACGAGACATAACTGACACAATTGGAAAAAAAAATCTCCACTTTGTACAAAGTGTCTTTCCTCTGATTCCTTAGCTCTACCTCAATTCTAACAGGTTAAACCCACCATGATGAATTTTTCTTCCTTAATATTGCGAAATCTCTCTGGAACTGTTTTTTTCCCCCTAATTAAATTATAGGTAAAAGGAGAATGTTTTTTATATTTAATATTATAGTCACTTAAAACTATTGAAAATACTTTAGAAAGTTCTACTTGAGAAGCATGAAAACATTACATTATCCAGTTAACAGTTACCATGCTTATTTTCCCTTTATTTTAGTGGCATTTATACATTTCAAGAAGTGAAGCAGAGATCCCCAGATTTAACTCATCAAACATTATAACACATGAAGTAGTTAGCCATACTGATTTTAATTTGTGTTGTTAGGACGATGAGAAATATTCTAAAATGAACATGACTTGTACACATTCCTAATCATATCTCAGATCATGGAATGTCCCTTATTAAAACTGCTGCCATTTGAAAAAAAATTCATTGAACTATATCGTATGGAAACTGAGATCTTCATTTTTACAACTACAGAAGAAAATGATCCCTCCTATGTAATTCATAATTGGCAAGTTCATATTCTTTCTCACATGGTGAATTAGAAGCCACCTGAAATAACTTTGCCTGTTATCTGAACTATGTTTGTTCTTGTGCTTTAGCTTGCCAGGCACTCACATGGCTGTATAGATGCCATTTTGCTCGTATCAAAATCTTTAAATATATAAATTCTGAAACCAATAGATTGATACTTAGTTTCATGTAAGAGGCAGAGAGCTTTGAAATGTTTTTCAGTTTTAGTCATGCAGGAGGGATTGTCTTTGAAGTTTCCCTGGATATCTTCTTCAGTGCACAACATAAATTACCCCAATTCAGTATCCATTACCCTCTATTTCAGTCCCATTAAATCTCTCCAAATAGATATCCTTTATGCCACACACATCCAGTGAAATTCAAGGCCCTTTTTGTCATATAGTTAAGAGGTGCCACATACTGCTCTCAAACACAGAGAGTAATTTCCACATTTTAAAACAACAAATTAATCCTGACCTCCACTATTGATTGAAGATGGAGACTGGTTTTCTAGGCCTTGATCAGGTTGTTTCTAAAAAATTTTAATTATTGTTAGCAGTCAGTAGAAGATAGAAAGAATCAAAACCTGAAGCCATATGTGACCACAGTTTTTTCTTTTCTTTCACTGGAATAAATTATTATCTGCACCAGTAGCAAATGGTCATTTTTACAACCATGCCCTCTGGGCTTTTTTCCAGAACTCTTCTCAGCTCACTACACTAAGAAAAAGCACTTCACTAGCAAGTTACTGCACATTTTAAGGTAGGTTTTTTTTCCTCCCCTGAAAGCTCTTTAAATAAGTGATGATAAAAGGTCAGATGCTATCAGAGTGCTTTAGTCCCTTTGTTACAAGTCAATAACATCATTTTTATTCCATTTGGCAGCTCAAAACTAAAACGCTTTTTCAAAACTGACAAGTTGTGGGCAATTATGACATTTAAAATAGCAGCCTGTATGAAAGTCATAGGGAAATATTTTCTTCATTGAGGGCTTTTAAACACATATGATGCTTTATAGCCAGGAATTAACTAGAAATATGGTGACTTTCAGTAGAAATAAAGGGAGTAACATGAAAAGACCTAATTAATGAGAAATTTCATTAGTTAGAGATACTCTGACACTAGATGGAATATAATATAATAAAATCAGTCTATACTGAGTCTGTTTTTTGCAAGCAAGGGATATATATATATTATATTATATATTATATACATATAGCAAGATATATATATATATACACATACACATACATATATAAAATACTTGCTGTATCATAAACAAGGTCTCAAAGATGCCCTTTGGGAATTAAAGTGCATGTTTCTTTTCTAAGAAAAACAATGAAAGATAAAGTACATGGGGCTCTTTAGGAAAAACACCAAAAATAAAAACAAGCAAAAGGCATTACAGTTCTCTAAAGTATATTTGATATATCAGGGAAGCAAAATTTGTTGAGAATTCAAACTAAGAGCTGTAGTTCTGTTTTGCCTATAGACTCAGTACATAGCAAAGCTTCTTGAAGTTTCCAAAATGAAAAATGCCCATGTGAGCTTGACTTCTAGGCATTCTTTGATTATTTCCTTACAGCTCAGAATAAACAGTGATTAACAGGATAAGGCCAACAAGTCAGGAAAAAAAAAAAAAAAGAAGCTAAAACTGTTTTCACAGTAGCTACCTCTCACACATTTCAAATTATAAAGTGTAGCTTTTTAAAAGCTATCAAAATATGTCTATCAAAACATTAATCACAAGTATGTGAGGAAAAAGGAAAGGCAACCCTAGCAAAAATACCAGAGCTGTGGCAGATTAAAGCCTTATTTAAATTTTTAAAATTTTGCATTGTTCACTGCAAGTTGGATGTCCATCAAGAAGTTACACATTTCTTTACTCTTTTATCTTATCATTTCAGTGGATCAAGAGACCGTCATACTTCTGATTTCAACATTCACACACACATGCGTGTGCAAGCACACTCACATATAGCCACACATTGAATGAATATTTAACTCAATAATTTTAATTTCTTGGCTAATCTAGTTAGATTTCAGCTGTGTCATTTATGAGTTCTGAACAATTAACTTCTCTAGGCCTTTACACTCAAATTGAGGAAATTAAAGATGTCACCTGTGACAACTCAACCCCATTTGTGATATATAACAATCTCCTGATGAATGCTTATTCTATTACTATGCACCCAAGGCCAACGTGTTTTTTTTTTTTTCCCCAAGAAGATACAGGAAAACTTAACCCAGCAAATGAGACTACAATTGGAAATGTTGTTCTCCATGTGTCCAGTAGATTCAACAGATTCCTTTGCACAAAGCATATAACTACAAGTCAAACTCAGAACATAAATTATGGGACTAACAAGTGTTTATATCATTATTTCTCAAAAAATAATTGTCCAACATAAAGCAGATCAGAATATTTTGATATATTGTAACAACACAAGTCCATACATAGGAAATGTGATTAGGAAGTAGAAAGTGGATTTTTCTACTTATACCCTCATGTCTATCTTATTAGTTGACACTTTTTTACTTGTATTCTTTCTGGTTGCACTATAGCCTGTTTTCTTAAGGCCATGTAGTTAAAAACGCTAACCAATTAAAAGCTTCATGACAGTCTTTGATTTATATATAGAATATTATTTGTGTTTGGCTTGCATTTTCGAGATTTATAATTCTTAAGGGCAGGTAACATAACACTATGAATATTTAAATCTTACCATAAGAGTATAATAATTTTTTTCTCTTTTTAAGCATCCAAATTTTTAAAAAGTGAGTTAATAGTAGATCCATGATTTCTGTCTTCATGTTAAGAGACCTTTGACAATCATAAGAAGAACTTTATTTTTGAATTTTGGTTGTCTTAATAGATTAGAGATTTGATAGATGGTTGGCACTTAAATCCTATAAAATTTCCCACTAGAAACTAATGACAACAAATAAATGAAAATACATCCCATGTACATGGATTGGAAGAATTAGTACTGTTAAAATGTTCATACTACTCAAAGCCATCTACAGATTCAATGCAATCTCCATTAAAATTCCAATGGCATTTTTAACAGATGGAAAAAAACCTAAATATCATATGAAACAACAAAAGACTCCAAAGAGCCAAAAAATTTTGAGAAAGAAGAACAAAGCTGGAACCATCATGTTTTCTGATGATGATGATATAGCTTTGTCTGTAACAAAGCTATATTAATTAAAATAGTATGTTGCTGGCATAAAACAGACATGTAGACCCCTGGAATCTATGCAGACATCATCAACTAGTCGTTGACAAGGGCACCAAGAATACACAATGGGGAAAAGATGTCTCCAATAAATGGTGCTGGGACAGACTGAAAACTTTAGAGGAAATAAATAAATTTCTGGAAACACACAACCTCACAAGACTGAGTCAGGAAGAAATAAAAAAATCCTGAACAAACCAATATCAGGTTCTGAAATTGCATCAGTAATGAAAAACCTACCAACCAAAAAGAGCCCTGGATCAGATGGATTCACAGCTAAATTCTACCAGATGTATGAAGAACTGTTACCAATCCTACTGAAACTAATTGAAAAAATAGAGCAGGAGGGACTCCTCTCTAACTCATTCTATGAAGCCAGCATCACCCTGATGCCAAAATCTAACAAAGACACAACAACAACAACAACAACAACAACAAAGAAAACTGCAGGCTAATATCCCTGATGAACATAGATTAAAAAATCCTCACCAAAATACTAGCAAACCAAATCCAGCAGCACATCAGAAAGCTAATTCGCCACGATTAAGTAAGCTTTATTCCTGGGATGCAGTGATGGTTTAGTATACATAAATCAATAAATGTGATTCACCACATAAACTGAATTTAAAACAAAATTATGTGATGCAGAAATGCTTTTGATAAATAGATGCAGAAAATGCTTTTGATAAAATTCAACATCCTTTCATGATAAAAACCCTCAACAAACCAGACACTGAAGAAAAATACCTCAAAATACTAACAGCCATCTACGACAAATTCACAGCCAACATTGTACTGAATGAGCGGAAGCTGGAAGCATTCATCTGAAGAGATGTAACAAGATGAGGATGCCCACTCTCACCACTCCTATTCAACACTTTACTGAAATTCCTAGCCGGAGCACTCAGGTAAGAGAAAGAAATAAAAGGTATCCAAATAGAAAAATAAGAAGTCAAATTATCTCTGTTTGCAGATGATACGATTCTATACCCAGAAAACTCTAGACTCCATCAAAGGGCTCCTAGAAATGGTAAATGACTGCAGGAAAATTTCAGGTTACAAAATCAATGTATAAAAATCAGTAGCATTTCTATACAACAATAATGTTCAAGCTGAGAGCCAAATCAAGAACATGATCCCATGCATGATACCTAGAAAAAATACCTTGGAATAGATCTAACCAAGGAGATGAAAGATCTCTACAAAGAGAACTACAAAAACTGATGAAGAAATCATAGATGATACAAAGAAATGAAAAGCATCCCATGCTCATGAATTGGAAGAATCAATATTGTTAAAATTGCCATACTGCCTAAATCAACCAACAGATTCAATGCTATTCCTATCAAACTACACACATCATTTTTCACAGAACTGGATATACTACCCTGAACTTCATATGGTAGCAAAAAGGAGGCTGAATAGCCAAAGAAATTCTAAGCAAAAAAAATAAAGCTGGATTTGTCACATCACCTGACTGCAAACTACACTACAAGGCTACAGAAACCAAAACAGCAAAAACAGACACACACAGCAATGGAAAAGAATAGAGAAACCAGAAATAAAGCCAAATACCTTCAATCATCTGATGTTTGACAAAGTCAACAATGATGAGCAATAGGGAAAGGAATCCCTAATCAGTAAATGATGCTGTGATAACTAGCTAGCCACATGCAGAAGAGTGAAACTGAACCCCTACCTTTCACCTTTCACTATATACCAAAAACAACTGAAGATGGACTGAAGATTTGAATGTAAAGCCTAAAACTATAAAAATTCTAGAAGAAAACCTAAGAATCACCATTCTGGAGATCAGCCTTGGCAAAGAATTTATAACTTCCCAAAACCAATTGCAACAAAACAAAACTTGACAAGTGGAACCTAATTAAAGAGCTTCTGCACAATGAAAGAGAGTATCAAGAGAGTAAACAGGCAACCTACAGAATGGGAGAAAATAGTCACAAACTATGCATTTGACAAAAGTCTAATATCCAAAATCTATAAGGAACTTAAACGATTCTGCAAGCAAAAAGCAAATAAACCCATTAAAAAAGGGAGCAAAGAATATAGACAGACACTTCTGAAAAGAAGACATACATGGGGCCAAAAATATATTTTAAAATGCTTTACATCACTAATTATTTGATAAATGCACATCAAAGCCACAATGAGATATCATTTCACACCATTCAGAATGGTTAGTATTAAAAAGTCAAAAAATAACAGATTCTGGCAAGGTTGCAGAGAAAAGGGAACCGTTACAAACTGTTTGTGGGAATGTAGATTAGTTCAGTTGCTGGGGAAAGCAGTTTGGAGATTTTTTAAAGAAGTTAAAACAGAACTGCCATTCTATCCAGCAATCCCATTACTGGGTATGTATCTGAAGGAAAATAAATCATTCTACCAAAAGTCATATGTATTAATATGTTCATTGCAGCACTAGTCACAATACTAAAGACATGAAATCAACCTAGATGCCCATGGACTGGATAAAGAAAATGTGGTACATGTACCTCACGGAATGATAAACAACCATAAAGAGAATCAACCTGTGTCCTTTGCAGCAGCATGGATGCAGCTGGAGACCATTATCCTAAGCGAATTAACACAGGAACAGAAAACCAAATACCACAGGTTCTCTCTTATAAGTGAGAGTTAAACACTGAGTACGCATGAACATAACGATGGGAACACGAGACAACGGGGACCACTAGAAGTGGGAGGGTTGCAGGGAGCGAGGGTTGAAAAGCTACTTATCAGGTCTATGCTCACAACTTGGGAGATGGGATCATTTGTAAACCAAGCCTGAGCAGCATGCAATTCATCCATGTAACAAGCCTGCACATGTACCCCCTGGGCCTGTAATAGAAGTTTATAAATAAATAAATAAATAAATAAATAAATAAATAAATAAATAAAATGCACAAAGACATCTTCTGACCAAAAACAAAATAAAAATGAAAATAAATGGTGATGAGAAAACTGGATATTAGCATGCAAAAGAATTGGACCCTTATACCATATACAAAAGTAACTTGAAATGGATTAACAACTTTAATGTAAGCTCTAAAACCATAAAGCTCCTAGAAGAAAATCTAGGGGAAAATATCCTTGGTATTCATAATGAATATTTTGAATACGATACCAAAGCCTGAGCAACAAAAGCAAAAACAAACAAGTGGAGCTAAATCAAACTAAAAAGCTTTTGCACAGTAAAGGAAAGAATCAATAAAATGAAAGGCAACTTATGGGATGGTAGAAACTATTTGAAGACCATTTATGTGATAAAGGGTCAATATCCATATTGTATCAGGAACTCACACAACTCAATGGCAAAAAGAAAACAAATAATCTTCTTAAACAGTGGGCAAAGGACCTGAATAGAAATTTTTCCAAAGCAGACCTACAAATGGCCAAAAGGTATATGAAAACGTTCTCAACATCACTAATCACCAGGGATATGCAAATCAAATCTACAATGAGATATCACATTATACATGTTAGGAAGACTATTACCAAAATGAGAAGTGATAACAAGTGTTGGCGAGCGTGTGAAGAAAATTAATTACTTGTACATTGTTGGTGGGAATGTAAACAGGTAAAGCCATTATGGAAAATGGTGTGAAGATTCCTCAAAAATAAAAAGAAAAGTATAAAACTACCCTATGGGTCAGCAATCTTACTTTTGGGTATATCCAAAGGACACTGAAGTAGTATGTGGAAGAGATATCTGCACTTCCATGTTCATTGCAGAATTATTCACAATAGTCAAGAGGTAAAATTAACCTAAGAGTCCACCAATGGATAAATGGATAAAGAAAAGAAAATGTGGTATATATACACATACTGTTCAGCCTTTTAAAAAAGGGAAATTTTGCCATTTGGGACAACATGAGTGAACCTGGAGAACATTACGCTAAGTGAAGTAAGTCAAGCGCAGAAAGGCAAATGCCATGTAATCTCACTTATATGTGAAATTTCACGTTTGAACTCAGAGGAGCAGAGAGAATAGTGGTTACCCGGGACTGGGAAAGGGGCAAAGAAATGGGGAAATGTCAGTCAAAGAATAGAAACTTTCAGCTAGAAGATGAACAAGGTCTGGGGATCCAAGGTACAGCATGGGTGGAAATGGATGTGTTAATTAATTTGATTGTGGTAATCATTACACAATGCATACTTATATCAAATCATGTTGTACAACTTAAATATATACAATCTTTATTTTAAAGTGCCCAGAATAAATGTATAGTGATTTTTTTCCATAGTTAACTACATTTGGAAAACAACACAAAGAAATGATAAATGTTTGAGGTGATAGGTATGCTAATTACCCTCATTTGATCATTACACATCATATATAGGTATCAAAATATCTCACTCTAGTACATAAATAGGTAAAATTATTATGTGTCAATTAAAAATAATAAAAGCAAAAAAAAAGCAGATCAGTTGGTGGATCCTTATGTTTGGCAGAGAAAGCCAGTCCTTCACAGACATTATCTTGAATGGCTACTATTAAAGAAACCTGAAATTAGGATATAATTACTCATCTTTCTGCTTTGTTCTGCTTCTAAAAGTATGTCTTTAAATTATTCACACACATAATCTTGAATTACTTACCATTTATAAATCAGTGTTACAAGAAGTAGAGATATAGTTTTATTATTTTTATATAGGGTGATGCTAGACACTAAAGTATACTTATGGTCAAATAAAATAATTTCTGGGCCCAACTTAGCCCAGATAAAATAAGAACTTACAAAGTGAGATTTACACTTCAAGAGATAATGTAGGAAAGGAACTTCATATTTCAGATTTTCTATTTTTCTCTCATTTCTCATTTAGTAGGATTTACTGGGAATCTATCATTTGTCAGGTACAGTATTGCAAAAGCTGGTTACATGGTCATTATTATCTCCCTCACAGAACTTGCAATGCACTGAAGGAGAAAACAATATGGTTTGTAGGATGAAAATTAGGGGATTAAAATGGAATATTAAGAGAAAAAAGTTAGATAGCTGAAAGAACAACATCAATGATGATAGAAGTCAGGGAGAAACAAAGAATGAGAGAGTGAGGAATTATACAAGATATAAGTAAATGAAAACAGGAGAGGCATAGCCACATTTAACGATATATAGACATAGGTATAAAGTTTCTAGCTGAGTAGACTTTTGAACTCTGATGTGCTAACTGTGGTAGATTTGGGAGGCCTTACCTGGTCATACGTAATATATGTGTCATTGAAAATTATAACTGTATAATCTATGAACTGCCTAGAAGTCTTTTTTCTCTTTTCTCCCATATGGTGTTCTTTCTTAATCTACAGTTCAAAGATTATTCCTGTTTTAAAATTCCTATTTTAAAAATCTATTTTTGTTTAGAACACAGATGCTTACCTTTCCTATGAGCCATATATAAGTACAAAGAAGCGACTGATATTATATATTACAACTGCTTTACCCGTGTTTGGGATTATGGCAAATATGAAAGTTCAAACAGTTTCTAAATTGCCCTTTAAAATCTCTGCCAAACCTACAAGAAGCTTGGATAGCACGTCAGGGTCTAATAATTGTTTACTAACCTCAATTTTCCTCTTCTTGCATTGTAATAAATGGTAAGTGGTACCTGCCCACCTAAGCTGTGTTTCCCAACTTCACTTGCAGCTACTGTGGCCTAGAAGTAATATGCACCACTTCTGGAACTGGGCATTGAGGTAACCAATGTGTACTTCTCTATTCTGCCTCTTATTCTTTTCATAAACTAAAACATGGAATTGTCCATAACCAACTTCAGACAAGCAAATGAAAACAGAGCCCGGGCAATGGGAGGGCAACAAGATAGAAAGAACCTGGATCCATGAATGACATCGTGGAACAGAAATATCTTGTTGACCTGAATCATTCACTTTGAGTACGATATATGAGAGAAAAATTTTTATGAGTTAAAAACAATACATTTGGGAAAAATACAGCACAGCAGCATTAACTGTTCTTTCTAAAGACTTATATGAAAATAAGCCTCAGGAAGATTTTCCTTTTGAAACCTTTCTCATGAACTTTTCTAATCAGTTGTCTCTCTAGTAGCCTCTGGTCTGATTCCTACACAATAAAAGAAATGGAATTTCTAAAATAATAAAAGAGATAGAAAATGATTAAGCTTTCCATAAATAGAATAATCCCCCATTGCTTAATTTACTGAGAATCACTTGAATTTCTAAAGAATTTTATAATTTCCTTGTCAAGTTATTTGATACTAAAGAAAACATACTGTCTCTATGGATCTACACACCGCGCTATGCAACACAGTGTATATACATTACTACAAGCACCTGAAAAAGTAACAAAATGCATATTTTATAAAATGTATACGAATTTTGACAGCTATTATAATTTTCTACTGAGTTGCCACCTACTATAACATTTGAAAAGAGACTGCAATTTCTACAAGCACTGCTAGAGAGCTATCAAGATTTTATGGTCATATATTTTCATATTATGTTTTTCAAAAATGATTATTCCTTTACTTAAATGTTCAATTTTATTCATCTTAATGAAACCTAGTGTGATTTTCTTAATACCCTCTCTTTAAGGTCATTGAAAAAGGCAGTATTAATGGTGCTTTTCAGCATCCTTGATTCAGTTTCTAGCCTGCATATGTGACCATCCATTTTGGGGTCAATTTGGGTAACTTAGTAAAATTAGAATTTTCTACATAATTTCTGGATCACAAAGAACTCAACAGTTCCTAACTACATTTATCTTGTAATCAGAATGTAACAGCATTATATCTATTCTAACTTCCACTTGATTTGTAATTGCAGTGATATTTCTTCAAAAGTGATTGCTGTTTTCAAGTAGAGGCCCGATTCTGCAAATAGGTTAAACAGAGCTCTCCGTTTAACAAAAATAAAACTTTTAATATACATTTTGAGGTGGGCTAATAGTCTTTTTCATTAGGAAAAGGGAGCACACACTGAGAATATCTGTCTGCCATCTGAGTAATCAATGAACCAATATGGTTGTAAATCTTCCAGAAATTCCCCATGGTTAAATTCAAAGAAAAATGTTTATTCTTCTCCAACCCTTATCCTTCATTTCCCCACTATCATTTGCTAACGGTAGGGGGAATCTTTTCATCTTGCAAGTGAGAGAAAGAGGAAGTATTTCACACTTTCTCTTAACTTCTGCCTATTAAAACAATCTCTGTCATTTGCATCTATGCTAACCATAAAAAAAGTGATAAAAATTCATTTTAAGAAAAACAACTATAAAAACCCTACTACCAGGAAAATAATTCATTACTGTTATTTTAATGATTGAAATGTGAATGTCTGATTTGTCATTGTTTTAATGGAAGTTGAGTGCAAAGTAATGATTAAGGATAAGTGCATTTGTTCATTAAATAATACAGTGGGCAGCTTTACACAAAAATTAAAGAGTAACAGATGCCAGTAATTGCACATATGCCATGATTAACTCATTGGTATCGCAGAATGCTCCAAGTAAAGTGATTGATAATGTACTTGAAAAATATATAATAAATGAGTCATATCAGAATGATAAAGTTGTTTTAAAAATTATGCTGAATTTCTATAAAAGCATGTGATGATATAAAAGGTCAACAATTATACTGTCATGATACAATTACAAAACTAATCTCCTTGCTAGATTATTTTACTTTCAGAGATATTACTGAAATTGTAAAACATAACAATTATTAAATGAAATAGTTTATACTCAAAATTATTTTCAATACAATCTACATTTATGGAGAACAAAGAAAACATCTAAAAAGGATTAAAGCATTAACAGTAAGAATTCATCCCTGACCTAGTATTTGAAAACATTTATACACACAGCTCAGATGACAGGTACTAAAATCTCAGAATTCACCAATATATAATTCATCCATGTAAACAAAAAACATTTGTAACCCAAAAGCTACCGAAATTTTTAAAAAGTGGCTGTCATAACATTTTTAAAAAATCGGTACACAGTGACTAAAAAACAAAGTTAATTTAGAAAATATAAAATAAAATATGTATTCCAAATCCTACAGATAGCCCTTTAATATTATTCAGAGAATAATTTTGTTACTCATAGTGGCTATGTCAGATTCTGCCATTTTCATCCCCTGCACTCTATATGGGCTACACTATGTCTTGAGCAACTGATCCTTATGGAATGCATTTTCCCAGCACCCCTGTCCTCTGGCTTACAATTAGGTTCAGCCAAAGAAAGGCAATGGCAGCATATTGTAGGGTAGAAAAGTAAGGTGGAATACTTATTTGGGCTCTGGTAGTGGCTGCACGTTTTGATTACAGCTGAAGCCACATGCCATATCAGCCTTAGGGATAGTAAGTAATACCTCCTCACCTTTTCTGGTCCATGAGCTATTCATCTTTTGTTAGTTCCTTTAAGCCTTCCCACATCTTTGTAATATAGTATCTTCATTAAGCCCTCTAAACTTGAACCTTTTGATGGTGCCATGTGTTTTCTACTGTGATCTGACTACACACTCTCACGGTAATTGTACTTTAAATGCTTATCAGTTTTATGCTGTTCTCAGATGCTTAGATCAACTGTACCTCAATTTATATAATACATGCATTTGTGTATGCATATTATTATTTTTCAATATAAATTACTTTTCCTTTCCAAAATTCATTATTCTCTGTTTTTATCATTTTAACCCTTCTCCTCACATTTATCTCCTCCACCCGAAGTCCTTCATTCCATTTTGGGCATCACATTCACAGAGCTTTGAGAACTAAGTCATCATTGGTTATCATTAACCCCTACTCAAGTCTTCCCTGATTATACAATAAACCAGTTTATTGCCAATATAAATTTAAAAATTTTAGTTTTTTCACAGCTGCCTTTTATTTCCTTCTTCTCCACTTCTTAGTTTGCATCCTTACTGCTTCTCATATGAAGTACCTGACCTTGCTCCATACAGGATAGACTGCCACTCCACTCAGCAAGCAAATAAACACCCAGAAAGTGAAATGACATATGGGATGTACTTCTCATGCTTGGGGGCAATTTTAGGGACTTTTGAACAATTTAAACATTACAAGTGATTTTCCCTTTCCATGTGCTCTTTAGACTCAACCCACGAATGAAGAGACTCCACCCTGATTGCACACTTGGTTCTCTGTCTCACAAGTAGCTTTAATTCCTCAGAGACAACAGTGCCAGCTAGACCTCCCAGTGACAAAAGAGTCATACCTCTTTACCTCCATCACCTTTCACAGCACTTTGTGCACTGTGCACTCACCTTGAGTTTTTTTGTTTTTTCTTAAAAAAAAAATCTCTATCCATTTTATTTCCCACACAAGTTTACACTAAGTTTTCCATTTTAAGCTCCCATTTACTATCCATGACACAGCACTCTAAACCATGGATAAGCAAAGGCTATGAGTGACATCAGACTGCTTAGTATCCTTGCACCACCAAGGACATTGCAACTTAAGCAAATTACTAAGTTTCCCTCTGCTTCAATATTCTTGTATGTAAAATGTGCATAGCAGTATCTCCATTGTGAGTACAATATGAGTTAGTGCTTTTTAAGCATCCTCAAGTAAAATAAACTATCCACTATTTCTCCAGTACGTTTTGATTGGGTGAAAAACGTCCCAGAATAAAATTACAACAGCGAAATGCATAGAAAGCTTTTAGCACTGTCTCATACTGTAGTAACTTGTTCTGTCACCTTTTGAAGCAATCTCTAAATTCATCTCCTGTTTTGAGTTTTGTTTTGTTTTTTCTCTAATCTCGCGGATGGGCTGTAATTTTTCTGCCTATATATTGACCACTCTTTAACAATTTGTTAGTTTTTCTTGCAGGAGATACTCTATTATACTTACATACCTGTATCTTTATATATCAAAATGTTGACGCATAGCTATAAACAGACAGATAAATTTCTCTACAAGGTCATCCACTTTTTCAGTTCAGATACAGTCTGTTACTTATTCTCTTTGTACTATAGATTTGCTTAAAATGAAAAATAATTGTACAATGCAAATTAATAGCTCTCGTAAATTAAATGTCTGTGATAATATTTGATAGACACTTTGTGAAGATTATGGATAATCTTAACAACAACTCTGCAAAGTAGACATTATCTCTACTTTCCACATAACAGTGCTCCTCAAACTGCCAGTCCACAACAGTTTATTACTCACCAGCAAAGAGATAAATACACACATTGAGAAAAATGCTTAGAAATCAGTAATGTGGTTTGTGGTTTGTTTTTGTTTGTTTGTTTTCTAGAAGTAGATTGGCAAGCTACCATGGCAGGGAAATATTTTGATGTAGTCTGATTAAGGAGTTCATATAGACCATAAACCAAGGTACTGCTTCCTTCGTCAAGAAAACCTTAGTGCACAATAGAAGTATCAGCTAAATATCAGGGTTCTTAGCTATTTCGTAAAATTTGTGATTTATGTATGTAAAAGCTAATTCATTAAATACAAAATTGTTATATTTATTATGTAATAACATAGATGTTGATTATAGCACCTATACTGCATGTTGAGGCACCAAGTTTACACATGGAAAAATTCTTGAGAATATCTGAACAACAAAAAACTTTTATTTATACAAGATAAGAAACTAGCCCATTCCAAAGTTTTAAATATGTAGGTTGGACAGCCAGCCTTCACTTATCTTATATATTTGGTATCTTTAAAGATCTTTCTACTGATTGCAAGGAATGAATGCAACATGCTTTGCAATGGCAGGTAGGATCAAAGGACCAAGCAAAAGTTAGAAGCTTAGAATAATAGAGTTTCTACAATTATTTATGACATGGTTCATAAATTAAGTACAATAATCAGTGAAAAAGTGATGATCTTGATATCGCACATTTAGGAAAAGTTATCATAGACCATTTTAGAACACTGATAGAACATTTTGAATTTATATTTTGTCACATAAGATCCACATATGAAAATTCATGGATCCTGAGTTGATTTCTTTCATAAAAATGTATTTAACTATAACTTTATAGGATAAATACTGGAGCAGGCTACTAATGCAGGACTGATGATGAATTTTTGAAAATGTGGTAAAATTTGCCTTTTTTGGATACAATTTTATTTTATTTTATTTTATTTATTTATTTGAGATGGAGTTTCGCTCTGTCGCCTAGGCTGGAGTGCAGTAGCGTGATCTCAGATCATTGCAACCTTCGCCCCCCAGGTGCAAGCAATTCTTCTGCCTTAGCCTCCCAAGTAGCTGGGATTACAAGCATACATCACCATGCCTGGATAATTTTTGTATTTTTAGTAAAGACGGGGTTTCATCATGTTGGCCAGGCTGGTCTTGAACTCCTGACCTCAAGTGATCTGCCTGCCTCGGCCTCCCAAAGTGCTGGGTTTACAGGCATGAGCCACCGCACCTGGCCCTGGAAAAAATTGTAAAATAAATATCCTAAACTTGCTGAAATTGCTTCAAAATCTCTTCTTCCATTACTGCCAATGTATTTCTCTAAGATTCATTTCTCTGCTATAACTGATGTTAATACAAAGAATGGAAACAGTTCAGATTATACATTATTCCCAGCAAGAAATGCTGTAACCAATCCAAAGGGATTATATAAATTAATAAGCCACAACCAAGCATGTGCCACATTAAAATGTAAATATTTGATGTATATGATGTTCATTCTAAATATGCATATAGACATTTAATATGAAAAATTACTGTTTCTCTCATAACTTTGTGTTTAGTTCTAATTCCAGAATAACAAAAAATTATAAGCATAATAATTATCTATATTATTCCCAATATATCCACACTCAACAAATACATACATTTTTATTTTTTATGTTATATTTGCAGAACCTAATAATAAGCTGAAACTTGCATTTTGAATGCCTTATTATTTTGTTTTATAGTAATTCATTTTATTGTACATTACAAAAGCATTATTTGTGCTTGATATATAGAGAAAAATGGCCCTCAAAAATGATTTGAGAAGTACTGACAAAGTTCCATGAATAAGGTTAGTTTGTCATGATCACCATTGCAGCTCCACACCTAGACCTTGTTCAGAAAAATGCTTGTTGCATAGAAGATAAAACAGTTCCTGATACAGTCTGATGTATACAGAGTGTATACCCTAACTTCTTGTGTATGCAACAAAAACAAACAGCCCCCTTTCTTTCTAGTCCCAGGAAAAAAAGTAGATTAAGCTAAAGGAGGACTAGGATTTAGGGAGCATTTTGCTTTGGTTCTGGTTGTTTCCACTTTGTTTTCTTCAGTGATATGAATAAGAGTAGGAAGTGGGTGATATAGACTTAAAATAACTTGCAGGTGTTCTTAGAGGCTTCTGCAGATACCCAGGACAGATGAAGGATTGATGCCCTGCCCTCTGGTGGCCTAGAGGTAAATGCCATTCCCCTAGTAAGATTATTGATGTCTGATCCTGCCCTCCCTGTTCTTGCTAACTATCTTCCTGGAAAAGAGAGCAAAGCTTTCTTGTCTTGCTATCTGGGATTCTGAGGCTGAACAAGACAAGGTAAAGCATGCTTGAAGGAGAAAACTTCATCTCCAAAGGCAAGCGTGAGGAATCATATTGTATGCAGAGAACCACAATAGAATTATTTTTTTCTGGATTTGTATAATAAGGATAGGTACTCATCAAAGGATGATAATGAAAGTCAAAACTCTTGCAACTTGTAACTGCAGGACAAACAATAGCCAACGTAGTTTTATCGCTGCTTTTCAGAAGTAGAATTCTGCAAGTCAAATGTCACAATATTTGGAAAGCTCTTTTTGTAAACATTTTTAAAAATAAAAAGAGTATTTAAATTCATGATTCAAGTGCTGTCTCCCCCTCACCTCCTTAACCTGTGGTTACTGATGGATCCTAGAACTCAGTCCTTGGACTCCTTTTCCCTAGATCTTCTTAAGCCATCAAGCCTGATAATACATATCTACTCTGTATTTAAGATCTTTAACTTGCTTGTCTGTGGACTCCAGACTCATATACCCAATTGGCTATCATGTAATCTCCTCTTGTATGTTTAATAAGCTCAAAAGGACAAATCCAAACCTTCCCACAAAACAATCACCACCTTCACCTCCTGCAAGCTTCTCCATCTCAAGTTTGTTATTTCAAGTGTTCAAGTCAAAAGCCATGAAATCATCCATGACTCCTCTTTCACTCTTCAACCTCACATTCTTGCCATCAGCTGGTCCTATTTGCTCTACTTTCAAATACACAGAACATTCCATCTATTCTCATCATCCTCATTGCTAACTCTGATCCAAACCAACTTCATCTTTTGCTTGGATTAATGCAATAGCTCTCTAATTGGTCTCCCTGCTTCTGATCCTCTCTCCCTTCCCCATAGTCTACTTTTCTGATAACAGCCTGAGTGTTACTGTGAAAATGTTTATAGGATCATCTAACTCCCATGATCAACACTCTCTGCTCGTTTCTCATCTCAATCTGAGAAAAATTCAGAATTATTCTATGGCTGACAAGGCCCCTTTGATCACTCTCCTCATCCCACTACCTCTGCCTTCCTCTCCTCTATTCTTCTTATCCACTTTGGTCTGCTCACGCTGGCTGAGCTCTTCTTTCAACATGCTCAGAGTGTCTTTACTTCTGGCTGCTTCTCTGCTTGGCTCACTATCCTTCTAAAGGATGAGACATGACACTTCTACCTCTCTGTCCTTATATGAGTGTCTGCTGCAATGTCACCTTCATGAAGCTTTCTCTCACATTTATTTAAAATAGCTTTTCTTATCTCTCTTCCCCAAGTTTTGTTTCTTCACAGAATTTTGCACTCTCAGACAAACCATATGTTCACTCATTTATTTTGTTTATGATCAGTTTCTTCCCATCTGAGAGTAAGTTGCATGAAGGCAGAGTTTTGCCTGTTTTGTCCTCTGATAAATCTCAAGCGCCTAGAAAAACTGCAAAAAGCAGTTTAATAATTGTTACTGAATGAATAAATGAATCTTAATTACTGTCATGCATATAACATCAAACTGTAATGATATAGTGAATTAATATGACTATTAATTTCTTTTGAATTTGTAAACTTAGGATTCCACAGAAACTCAGAATTATAATTAATTTCCTTGATGACACCTTCTCTACCATAAATGGATGGTAGGGAGCTTTAAGATCTTTTAATAATGTAATCAATTGCATGACTACTCAAAATTAGACTAAAAATTGCTCCTAGTTTGAAAATCGGGAATTAGTTTTTTGTTGCTTAACTATATCACAAAGCCCAGTAAATTTCTTGCCTTAAAACTTTTCATATATATTCTGTGATGGTTAATATTAAGTGTCAACCTGATTGGATTGAAGGATGCAAATTATTGTTGTTTTCTGGGTGTGGCTGTGAGGGTGTTGCCAGAGGAGATTAACCTTTGAGTCAGTGGACTGGGAGAGGAAGACCCACTCTCAATGTGGGTGGGCACCATCCAATCCGCTGCCAGCACCAATAGAACAAAGCAGGCAGGAAAAGGTGGAAGAAGCTGGCTTGCTGAGTCTTCTGGCTTTCATCTTCTTCCCATGCGGAATGCTTCCTGCCCTTGAACATCGGACTCTAGGTTCTTTGACTTTCAGACCCTTGGACTTACACCAGTGGTTTGCCAGGGGTTCTGGGGCCTTTGGTCACAGACTGAAGGCTGCACTGTCAGCTTCCCTACTTTTGAGGCTTTGGGACTCAGACTGAGCCACTACTGGCTTCCTTGCTCCTCACCTTGCAGATGACCATCATGGGACTTCATCTGGTGATCATGTGAGTCAATTCTCCTTCATAAACTCCCTTTCACATATACGTCTATCCTATTAGTTCTGTTCCTCTGGAGAACCTTGATTAATATACATTCTTTCTCTGTTTTCTTAGCTCATGCTCTGTTCCAGGCCATCATGATGTCACACCTTAGCTGCTAAAATCATTTTTATCTTTCTTTCACCTCTCTTTCCTCAAAGCCTCTCTTTCTATAGCTGTTCAGATACTGATTTCCTTTTTTCAGTGTTCTAACTTTTAAAGAATTTATATTGTGATGAATGTGCTAAGATAAAAGATAATAGCTAGGGCTATTCAATGGCAGAAGCAAAATTATTTATAGATAATACAGAATCATTTAATGAGTTGATAAAGAAGTTACAAAACACTATTTGAACTACTGAGAGAGTATTTAGTGAGGAGGTAATAAACAAAATAGAAATGCACATTTTGGTTTGCTAGATACCCAGTCAACACACAGAAGGTAACAAAGTAAAAGTAGCTGCCAGTATAAGTAGCTGCCAGTGTCAAGCACCAGCGCTGGCTTCCCCCTCTCACTTTATGCTGCTGTTTGTCGCACAGACTCAGAGGCAGCCCTGCAGGTGGGAGAGCCTCTTTCATACATTTCTCACCAAAAGAGCCCACACTCAACATGAAAAGTAACAGAGTCAGGAAAGGAAGGAGTGAACTCTTCCTTGTCTCTTAAATTATTTCCCCCTCACTTAGGTCTTTCCCCCAAATCCTTTAGAGTAGCCATTGAATCTCCAAATTAGAAATCTCCGTTTCGTTGTTACCCTCAATGTAGTTACAGCACTAAGAACACAGGGTCTTTGCTTTATGTCTGATTGACTAAAAGGCCCAGTTCAGGTATTTGCCCACAACACAGCCATTTTTGTTCTAAAAGGAGTATATAAGATCTCAACTTCCTAGATAGAAACTGCTTAAGACCTTAAATGATAGGCTTATGATTTGTTTTGCTTTGAATTTTGTTTAATGTAACATTTATTTTCCAATGTTTCAAAAATCTCAAAACACATTCTGATAAGAGTTTCAGCCTACACACCGAGACATGAGATAAGGTGGCCTTTCAAAACTCATTGTCCTCAAGAAGGTTTTTTTGTTTGTTTATTTGTTTTTGAGAGGAAGTCTCGCTCTGTCGCCGACGCTGGAGTGCAGTGGTGCAGTCTCGGCTCACTGCAAGCTCCACTTCAAGAAGGTTTACAAGCTGGAACTGAGATTGGTTTATGCAATCAGTCAAGGTCGGTTCAAGATCACACACAAATCCACGATGGAACTGTGATTCAAGTGCAGCTATCCTGACTACCAAGTTTATAAATTTTGAACAACTAACTAATGTTTGCAGAAGGTCATGAGGTTAGATTTTAAGTTGCAAAGAAATAAATAAGTGACAAATAACTGATCATCATCCCCACAGGAGAACATTTTTATCAATACCCAGACAATATTTTTATCAAAATTCACTATTTAGAGATAGCCCATTCAATCTCACTGAGTGCAGTTTTCACCATTAAAAGAAGGGTGGACTATGTGTATTTGATGGGACTTTGAAAGTCCAAATGCAATATATTATGTATAGATTTGCACTGCTGCTATTCTTTCTAAACTACTACCCTTCTTTCTAAAATGTGAAAGTGAGTGATATGGAAAACTCAAAGCAATCACTCAGTATTTCACCTCCCTACTTTCCATTTGTACTTCAGTCCACTTGCTAGTCTCAACATTAAAAGGTGTAAAACCAGGAGACTTGATTCTTAAAAATACCCACACTTTGGTACTAAAATAACGCTACCTCCTACATTTCACCAGAGCTGCAAAATGCTTGCTTACTGCTGTTTCCAAGGGTGGCTCACAAGAGCCTGCAGGGAAATAATAAATCAGGAAATGTAGAATACCTAACCTAATTTGTAATTTTCATGCTCACACAATTTAAAATGGCACATTACAAATATTTATTTAGAAGTAGGTATTTCTAAATTGTATTATTTTGTATGAATAGTGAAGAAATATCTCCTGAAGAGAGGGTGAAAAAACATTTAGTATTTATAAATACAGAAAAATAACTGAAGAAAATCAAGTGAATACATTGAAAAGTAGCTAATATTATTTAACATATAACCACAATAAATTCATAATTTAATATTTTGTAATTAGTATTGCCTTAGCGAGTCGCTGTGTGTGTTTTTGTCCTTTTTCGTTTATATTTTTGTGTACTTCAGTCAATATTTCCAAGTTTACTTGTAAAAAAGCCTTTTGATATTAAAAGCTGTAGTATTTTGTATGGATGGCCATGTAATGATATTTGAAAAACGATATTTGAAAAATAGAGGTTTCTCATTCATTTTGTACTTGATGTTAAAATTATTTTCATAAAGTATCTATTCTATTAAAAGAAAATACCCTGCATAGAGTCTATACATCAAGACCATTTATTAGGATCATCATTGATTACAGACAATTTACACTGGAGACTGTACATTGTAGATTATAAATTATAGTTATTTCCTGGCTCAGGGTACACACACTCCTGCCTATAACTCAAAGCACAGTAGAGGCACCTATTATAAGCTGAACCAATCTATTTCTCTCTCCTGGAATGTTGAAACTGGAACAGTAAAATACAGTGGCCTCTAAGTTTTTAAGTATAATAACCTTTAGGTTGGTGCTCTAGAGCTAAGTTTACACCTGCCTCAAACTAAAAAAAGGAAAAAAAAAAAAGCTCCATTTCCAAAATACAGATTCACTATGGGGGAGGGCATCACTCTATAAAAGTCTGATGCAAATTATTAAGAAAAACACAGAACAGGAAAAACGGTAAAAGTTAAACAGTAAACTTTAAATAATACATCTTATCAAAAATATATTTTGTTGGTATGGGTCAAAATTATGTGCTTACAAATAGAATTGAATTTGCCTGTTATACACAAGTAGTTTTTTGATATTGTTAAGATTTTCTTTTACATACTAAGGAATTATAGTAATAATGCTATTTTGAAATTTACTTTAAGAATATTAGAATATTTTGTATCCTGAACTTTGCTAAAGTTGCTTATCAGCTTAAGGAGATTTCAGGCTGAGATGATGAGGTTTTCTAAATATACAATCATGTCATCTGCAAACAGAGACAATTTGACTCCCTCTTTTCCTAACTGAATACCCTTTATGTCTTTCTCTTGCCTCATTGTCCGGGCCAGAACTTCCAGTACTATGTTGAATAGGAGTGGTGAGAGAGGCCAACCTTGTCTTGCACCGGTTTTCAAAGGGAATGCTTCCAGCTTCTGCCCATTCAGTATGACATTGGCTGTGGGTTTGTCATAAATAGCTCTTATTATTTTGAGATATGTTCTATCAATACATAGTTTATTGAAATTTTTTAGCATGAAGAGCTGTTGAATTTTGTCAAAGACCTTTTTTGCATCTATTGAGATAATCATGTGGTTTTTGTCTTGGGTTCTGTTTATGAGTTGGATTACATTTAGTGATTTGTGTATGTTGAACCAGCCTTGCATCCCAAGTATGAAGCCGACTTGATCATGGTGGATAAGCTTTTTGATGTGCTGCTGGATACAGTTTGCCAGTATTTTATTGAGGATTTTCGCATCGATGTTCATCAGGGATATTGGCCTGAAATTTTCCTTTTTTGCTGTGTCTCTGCCAGGTTTTGGTATCAGGATGATGCTGGCCTCATAAAAGGAGTTAGGGAGGATTCCCTCTTTTTCTATTGTTTGGAATACTTTCAGAAGGAATGGTACCAGCTCCTTTTTGTACCCCTTGTAGAATTCGGCTGTGAATCCGTCTGGTTCTGGACTTTTTCAGTTTGTAGGCTATCCATTACTGCCTCAATTTCACAAATTGTTATTGGTCTATTCAGGGATTCGACTTCTTCCTGGTTTAGACTTGGGAGGGTGTATGTGTCCAGGAATTTATCGATTTCTCCTAGGTTTTCTAGTTTATTTGCATAGAGGTGTTTATAGTATTCTCTGATGGTAGTTTGTATTTCTATAGTATTCTATAGAATATTCTATATACCTGCATAGGTAGAATATTCTATATTCTATAGAATACTATAGAATAGAAGTTTGTATAGAAGTATTTTATAGTATATTCTATATTCTATAGAACACTATAGGATATAAATTTGAATAGAATACTATAGAATAGAATATACTATAGAATTCTATAGAACTACCATTTCTATAGTATTCTCTGATGTTAGATGGTATTTATGTGGGATCAGTGGTGATATTTCCTATATCATTTTTTATTGTGTCTATTTGATTCTTCTCTCTTTTCTTCTTTATTAGTCTGGCTAGCAGTCTATCTGTTTTGTTGATCATTTCAAAAAACCAGATCCTGGATTCATTGATTTTTTGAAGGGTTTTTGTGTCTCTATCTCCTTCAGTTCTGCTCTGATCTTAGTTCTTTTTTGTCTTCTGCTAGTTTTTGAATTTGTTTGCTATTGCTTCTCTAGTTCTTTGAATTTTTATGTTAGGGTGTCAATTTTAGATCTTTCCTGCTTTCTCTTGTGGGCATTTAGTGCAAAATCAATGTGTGAAAATCACAAGCATTCCTATACATCAATAACATACAAACAGAGACCAAATCATGAGTGAACTCCCATTCACAATTGCTACTAAGAAAATAAAATAACTAGGAATAAAACATATAAGGTATATGAAGGACCTCTTCAAGGAGAACTACAAATCACTGCTCAAGGAAATAAGAGAGGACACAAACAAATGAAAAAACATTCCATGCTCATGGATAGGAAGAATCAATATGGAGAAAATGGCCATAATGCCCAAAGTAATTTTATAGATTCAATGCTATCCCCATCAACCTACCACTGACTTTCTTCACAGAATTAGAAAAAAAAATTCTTTAAACTTCATATGGAACCAAAAAAGAGCCCGCATAGCCAAGGCAATCCTAAGTAACAAGAACAAAGCTGGAGGCATCACACTACCTGACTTCAAACTATATTACAAGGCTACAGTAACCAATACAGCATGGTAGTAGTACCAAAACAGATATACAGACCAATGGAACAGAACAGAGGCCTCAGAGATAACACCACATATCCACAACCATCTGATCTTTGACACACCTGACACAAACAAGCAATGGGGAAACGATTCCATATTTAATAAATGGTGTTGGGAAAACTGACTAGCCATATACAGAAAACTGAAACTGGACCCCTTCCCTACACCTTATACAAAAAACAACTCAAGATGAATTAAATGCTTAAATGTAAGACCTAAAATCGTAAAAACCCTAGAAGATAACCTGAACAATACCATTCAGGACACACTGCGTGAGCAAAGACTTCATGTGTAAAACACAAAAACAATGGCAACAAAAGCCAAAATTGACAAAGGGGATCTAATTAAACTAAAGAACTTCTGCACAGCAAAAGAAACTATAATCACGCAACCTACAGAATGGTAGGAAATTTTTGCAATCTGTCCTTCTGACAAAGGGCTAATATCCAGAATCTAAAAAA
Source organism: Homo sapiens (assembly GCF_000001405.40). NCBI lineage: Eukaryota > Metazoa > Chordata > Mammalia > Primates > Hominidae > Homo > Homo sapiens. The sequence continues at coordinate 85,813,425 of NC_000003.12, read as the reverse complement.
ACTTAAACAAATTTATAAGAAAAAAACAAACAACCCCATCAAAAAGTGGGCAAAGCATATAAACAGACACTTCTCAAAAGAAGACATTTATGCAGCCAACAAACATGAAAAAAAGCTTATCATCACTGGTCATTAGAGAAATGCAAATCAAAACCACAGTGAGATACCATCACACACCAGTTAGAATGGCAATCATTCAAAAGTCAGAAAACAACAGATGCTGGAGAGGATGTGGAGAAATAGGAATGCTTTTACACTGTTGGTGGGAGGGTAAATTAGTTCAACCATTGTGGAAGACAGTGTGGTGATTCCTCAAGGATCTAGAACTAGAAATACCATTGGACCTAGCAATCCCATTACTGAGTATATACCCAAAGGATTATAAATTATTCTACTATAAAGACACATGCACACATATGTTTATTGCAGCACTATTCACAGTAGCAAAGACTTGGAACCAACCCGAATGTCCATCAATGATAGACTGGATAAAGAAAATGTGGTACATATACACCATGGAATACTATGAAGCGATAAAGAAGGATGAGTTCATATTGTTTGCAGGGACATGGATGAAACTGGAAACCATCATTTTCACCAAATTGTCACAAGAACGGAAAACCAAACACCACATGTTCTCACTCATAAGTGGTAGTTGAACAAGGAGAACACATGGACACAGGGAGGGGAACATCACACACTGAGGCCTGTCAGGGTGTGGGGGTATAGGGGAGGGATAACATTAGTAGAAATACTTAATGTAGGTGATGGGTTGATGTGTGCAGCAAACCACCATGGCATGTGTATAGCTATGTAACAAAACTGCATGTTCTGCACATATGCCCCAGAACCTAAAGTAAAATAATAAAAAATAAAAATTAAAAAATTAAAAAGAGAATGTTAGAATATCTTAAATTATCATGATGCCTGTGCTGATCCTGATTAAAAGTCTATTCAACATGGAGACACTATGTCACCAGAAATCAGTATGTCACCAAGAAATTAGGCCCCGGTGCAGTACATTGTTACTCTTTATATTTGACAAATGGTACATAGTTCAGTTATAATTACTTTAAAGGAATTCACTTTATCAAAAAAGCCTGTTTTCAGTCATGAATATTTTCAAGTCGAATTATTTTTTTTCTAGACTCATGAAGGATAATTTTATCGATTACTTACTCATTTTGCATCTCCTGGAATAGTTTATTATGCAACAAGTAGAATTACAGTTACCTACCTGCAGATTGCTTGACTTAATAATTTCCCTTGCCCTGTATCCCTTCCACCACACCCATATATAGATGGTACCTGACAACTTGACACTTGATGCCAAAATCCATATTTTATTTATTTTAGTATTCTCAATGCCCAGCATAATTCCCAGGGCATAGCAATATTTTATAGATATCCATACAGTTGAACTGAAATTGTGACTTGGAAATCTTTCAACTATCAAATATGCTTAGATGTGCACAGATTGACACTTGTTTAGTGAAGCCTGCCTTCCTTAAAAGCTACTAATGCTCAAAATGGGGAATCTAAAGTATCACAAAAAAAAAAAAAAAAAACATCAAGGCATTTTCCAGGAAACTGGTCACTCTTTGCATTGTTTATTCCTTTGTTTTGAGAGAGGAAAATATATACACAATGGTGGTGACTATCTACTCAGTCTGAGTCTAGCCAGTTCATCATCCCACTTCTACTGCCACAACCGTCTAAAATGATACTCCTAGATGATTTAAAGTCATTGCAATCATTGTTGACCATGTGCTAATTCTGTATGTTTTGCCAACTTATAAATGTACTTACAAAATATGTACCCAGAAACACACATGATTAAAAGATAATGGAACCCAAATTTTCATCAGAACAAGTTTTCTTTCAAGCTGCTCTATTCAACATGAAATAGGCTTCTCAAATATCAGTGAGCTGCGATAACTGCAAACAACCTGGCACAGTGCCCATCACACAGTAGATGATCAGCAAATATTTGTTGAATGATAAAATAATACATAAATTAATCATTAGAAGGTAGAATAAAACTGTTCAGTGTTTGTTAAAATAATTTTTCTTTTAGTAGGGTTTTAGTAAAATATATGTTTACAAACAACAATGGCCAATAACTTTTAAAAGGACTTAATTCAAGAATTTGGTCATTTTTACCTGGTCATCAGCACTTATTTGTAGAAAATGTCACTTTGATTTCAAAAAACATTGCAGAAAGTATTATCAAAAGTAGGCATATAATTTCCCTAAAATATAATATCAAATATGGAAATTATCCTGATTTTGATGTCCAAAAATTAAAATTTGTGGAAACAATTTAGGCATGCATATGTTGCTTTGAATGTCAACATTTCAGTCTTGATGCTTACAGCTTAACATGTTGTTATTCATGTAACTGCCAAAATTTATAGCATATATTATCATTATTTAAAATTGCTGGACTCAAAATGCACAGGCCTAAAGAAGTAAATGTAGTAATTATACAATCCACAACCGAAGATTTTCTTTATGTTTAAAGAATTGCCAATAATGGCTTCATCTTCAGCAAAAGTAGAAGTAAATTCTTTAAGAAGGCTATGAGGCCAGGCATGGTGGTTCACGCCTGTAATCCCAGCACTTGGGGAGGCTGAGGCAGGCGGATCTCTTGAGGTCAGGAGTTCGAGACCAGCGTGGTCAACATGGTGAAACCTCTTCTCTACTAAAAATACAAAAATTAGCCAGGTATGGTGGTGCACATGTATAGTTCCAGCTACTGGGGAGGCTGAGGCAGGAGAATCACCTGAACCTGGGAAGCAGAGGTTGCAGTGAGCCAACACAGCACCACTGCACTCCAGCCTGGGTGACGAAGTGAGACTTAGTCTCCAAAAAAAAAAAAAAAAAAAAAAAACAGAATTCTATGAGCATATACTTTAACATATGTATTAAATATCTTCCCAGAGAAGCAATGCAACTGAAGGTAGTTGCAAGCATAAGCATAAAATAACCCAAGATTTTCAATGGAATTATCTTAACTGAAAATTGGGTATGTAGAAATCTCTGTGTATGCATGATATGCTATACTCTTTCCTTTCTGTTCATCTTCCAGATCCACACTCTTTACCTTAGAAGACTAAGCTACTCAGGATCCCTTGACCTATGGTTTTCATCTGGGATCAGCCCAGAAGGAATTGACAAGAGAACAGAGGTTGGGAGAAAAGAGATGTCAATTTACATATTTTCATACATCTATCCCTTCTCAGCCAGTCATAGCTCTTAACCAGAAGCCTTCTCCCATAACTGTAACTTTAGTTAATTTTATTTCTCTTACAGACACCAAAGTAGGATGTTCTCCTACTGTCGCTACTTTCTGGGTGTGCATCATTTTGGCTAGTTTCCTTAATTATGCCTGTATCTGTATTATTGGCCCATTTATTCTTCTTTAACTGCAATGTACCATTTAATTCCTAAGGGGAACACGATTCAATATGCATGCACTTGCTAGGAAATTTACTAATACATATGAGAATATTGTGGTGTGGTAGGGTTTAAATATGAGATAAGATGTTTTGAAGAGATCAATCAGAAAGAGTGACTTTGAAATACAGAACCAGAAACTATAATTCCCACAGAAAGAAAGAAAGAAAGAAAGAGAGAGAGAGAGAGAGAGAGAGAGAGAGGGAGGGAGGGAGGGAGAGAGGAGGGAGGGAGGGAGGGAAGGAACGAAGGAAGGAAGGAAGGAAGGAAGGAAGGAAGGAAGGAAGGAAGGAAGGAAGGAAGGAAGGGAGAAAATGTTTCATTTTTCAGCATAATGAAACACAAAGTGAATTAGACTTGTCGTAAGAAAACTCAAGTTTCCCTTTTTTTATGAGACAGGGTCTTTCTGTGTTGCCCAGGCTATATTGGTTCACTGCAACCTCTGCCTCCTGGGTTCAAGCAATTCTCTTGCTTCAGACTCCCGAGTAGCTGGGATTACAGGTGCATGCCACCACACCCAGCTAATTTTTGTATTTTTAGTGGAGATGGGGTTTCACCATGTTGGCCAGGCTTGTCTCAAACTCCTGACCTCAAGTGGTCCACCCGCCTCAACCTCCCAAAGTGCTGGGATTACAGGTGTGAGCCACCTCACCTGGCCAGAAAACTCAAGTCTCTTCATTGCTTTGTCATTTACTACTCAAGTTATTTAAATATGTAAACCTCAGTGTCTTTACATATAAAATAGGAATGCCTACTGTATAGTATTGTTGAGAACTCAAAGACAAAAGGTAAACATGCTGAAAGTTATCTAATAACTTTACTGTATAACTATAAGCTATCATTATTAATTTCACATTTTTATTGTACAGATATATAATAGCTGCATTTTTAAAAGAAAACAAAAGAAGGGTAATAGTAGCCAAATGCAACACCTGTTTTACTCAGTTAATCTTTAATAAAGCCTGTCAAATTGATTGATAGCAGTTGTGGAGATATACAGTCAGGTGGCATGGATTGGCATAGAGCCAGGAGAACCTGTACCTCCAATTCTGGTTCATCTCATTTTTCTTCTCTTTATCGGTCTTAGTTTTAGGACAATTTACTCATGTTTTTCCTCTTCCATTGTTCCCAGTATTAGTGTAAAATTATTAGAATAATTGGCTAATTAACACCAATGATTTAAAGCTATGTCTTTAATAAATTTTTATTTTGATTTCTTTAGGAAATTTTTAAGGATTATTAAAAAAATTTAAAAGTTGAAATATTGAGAAGAAAATCACAAAAAAGTCATGTATTTTACATTTTTATATAAAAACACATACAAGCTCACAGAGATGTATCTGTTGAATGTGTGTGTTATGGGCTCCTGGAGATGCTTGTTCAAAGTATTTTTGTCAATAATAGGAAGGAATTGAAGTGTTCTTTCCTGAGCATTAACTGATCAGATTGTGCTACTTCAATTGTTTTTTTCCTTCTGCACCTGCAGAGAAACAGACACTACGATCTAATTGATTTTTTTTTCCATTGCCAATACCACACAGCATTTATGTGGTGTTTCAATGACCTCTACTCCCCACTTGCTCTGTCTCCCTATACCCACTCTATTCCAAATGCTTATCAACTATTTATAACAGAGGTGCTAAGATTTATGTAAAAAGAAAGAGAAGAGGATTATAACAAGTGAATGTTGCCTTAGCTACATCTATTCTAGGTCTCTCTGACCCATAAGGATCTATAAATTTTCCTCTTGATTCTTATTTTCTATTTAGTTTTTGCAGATTCTTAAGTATTATAGAAAAAGACTTCATACTTAGGCTGTACAGAAATGAAGTGGAATTGTAATTGAATTTCGACTTTGTAGGCTAATGATTTCTGATTTTTGGGTGCACACAAGGCAGACAGGGAACTCGTTAAAATACAATTCTGGTCCAACCACCAGTAATGGGGTGTCAATGAACACCTTTTATTACCCTGCTGGCTGGTGTCAAAGGCAGAATTTAAATTCAGATCTGACTCTCTGTCTCCTGTGCCACAATGTCCCCCTGAAAGCTGTACAATTTAAATGGTAAAAAAAAATCATTTATTGAATATTTGATGCATGTTTTTATGATAGCCTAAGGGTTTTCTCAGTTAAAAATAACATATTCTACTAGCCAAGGCTGGAACTGGACAAGGTATATTATGACATCTGATGAGTGAATCAGCATCTAGAATTGTGCTTTCCAAAACAGTAAGTGCTGGGCATGGGAGGATATTGAGTACTTGAAATATGTCTAGTGTGGCAGAAACCAAATTTTTAAATTTTACTCTATTTTTATTAATTTAAATTTAAATATCTACACATGACAACTGAATTGTTCAGCTCAGCCCAGATATGGAATATTCCCATCATCATGGAATGTTCTCGTGGACAATGCTGATTATAATATATTCTTCTGTCTTTTTGTCTTTTTTTTTTTTTTTTTTTGAGACGGAGTTTCACTCTCGATGCCTAGGCTGGAGAGCAATGGTACAATCTCAGTTCACTGCAACCTCTGCCTCCACAGCTCAAGTGATTCTCCTGCCTCAGTCTCCCAAGTAGCTGGGGTTATTGGCATCCGCCACCATGCCCAGATAATTTTTGTATTTTTAGTAGAGATGGTTTTTCGTCACGTTGGCCAGGCTGGTCTCAAACTCCTGACCTCAGGTGATCCGCCTGCCACAGCCTCCCAAAGTGCTGGGATTACAGGTGTGAGCTACCATGCCTGGCCCTTCTGTCTTAATCTATGTATATCTTCAATAGTTTGAAATGACATGCTGCTCTTTAACAAAAGTAAGCTGCCAAGATCAATGGCAGAGGCTGCCCAGGTTACATTTAAAATGACATGGCGTCCAAATGCCATTGCTTTCAGGAATATTTCAGTTAAAATCAAGGCAAAAGCTACACCTGGATTCAAAGTTCTTCACTACCAGACATTAGCTGAATGTCTGTGAAGAAATATCCTTGATTGTTAGGTCTTATTTTTTCCATTTATCAATGGACACAAGCTACTGATCACATTAAACATGGCAAAAAAGTTGTAAAAGCTTGAATTTGCTGCCTTCGTCTTTATTTTACCTCAGTGAGAAATATGACAGTATTAGATTCACCTTAGCCAATTCCCCCACTAGACTCCTATCTCCCCGGGGAAGAGATTCCCGAATATTCACTTTTTGTTTGTTTTGTTTGTTTGTTTTGTTTTGTTTTGTTTTTGAGACAGAGCCTCACTCTATCACCCAGGCTGGAGTGCAGTAGCGCGATCTCAGCTCACTGCAACCTCCGGTTCCTGGGTTCAAGCAATGCTCATGCCTCAGCCTCCCAAGTGGCTAGGATTACATGAATATTCACATTTAAAGTCACTGACAGAGACCCCTAGGAAAGGGGGTTCAGCCTAATTCTCCTTTACTTGATTCAACTGACCACTCACAGCATGTTTTTATTCAGTTAATAAATTCATGTAAACAAGGCTTTTCCAACTCTAACATGACATGTGGGCTGCCATCCTGAATTTCTCGTTCATAGCCAGGACCCTTGGAAACTTACACCTCCAGGTAGCATGAAATGCTACGGGATGCCTCTCGGAGCTCATAGTAGCAGTAGTAATGGTTGTGAGGCAGTGATCAGCACTTGTTCTTTTTCTGAGCAGTTTGTCCTTCCTCCCTCCCTCCCTTCCATTCTTTTCTTCCTTCCATGCTCAGTAACATTTATCAATACAGAAATCCTTCCTTCCTTCCTTCCTTCTTTCCTTCCTTCCTTCCTCCCTCCCTCCCTCCCTCCCTCGCTTCTTTTCTTCCTTCCATGCTCAGTAACATTTATCAATACAGAAATCCAAGCTCAGGGATGCAGAACTCTTCAGAGAGTTGACTTGCCTAAACCCAAGTGTCTCAATCACAGCTGCATTTTCTAATCATTTGAGATATAATTAAAATATTCTGATACTGCATACCGCTGGAAGACTGTGTTTGAAAATCCCCTAAGTGATTTTACTGTGTAGCTACGGCTAAGAACCACTGGAAGCACAATCTGAGACAGAAAGAAGAGTGAGGCTATAGATGAAGCTTTAACAGTAGCAGCCACCTGCAGGAGATGGTATAATCAATGACACAGACAACCCATTCCTTCCCTTTTCTCTCTTGCTCTCATGTGCAGTCTTCACTAGTAAAACAAGTATGCGTTACTCTAGTCTAACTCATGCTCACCTTCTTCACTTAGGCTCTGGTACAACTTGGAATGCTTGCTTGCTCAAGACAAGCCTTAAAATTGGTGAGAGTTAGGTAATTGCAGATTAAAAGATGATGTGTGGAAAATTGTAATATGGAATCTTTTAAAATGCTTTCAATTTCAAACTCTTGCATTTGATAGGTATTACTGTCCAAGAATCCCTTCAACTAAGATATCACATAGAAATTGAACCACTCTTGGGAACAGATAGTGAGGACGAGAAAAGAAAAAAAAAGAAGAAGGAAATTGAAGCACTGACATATGAGGGAATAGGTATGTTAGATTGCCAAAGGATTTCTTTCTTCAATGCTCTCTGTTGTTTTACTGCAACTGACGTTTAGAACCACAATAGAGTTAGAAAAAGCATAGTATCAAAAACAGAAACCTATCATACTACAAACACAAACACATACATAGGCTTTTCTCCAATCTAACTAAGCTATTACAGCATCTGGGAACGGAAAATTAAGTAAAGTCAGTCCTGGCCCGGCACGGTGGCTCATGCCTGTAATCCCAGAACTTTGAGAGGCCAAGGCAGGAGGATTGCTTGAGCTCAGGAGTTGCAGCCTAGCCTGGATAACATGGTGAAACCCAGTCTACACAAAAAATACAAAAAAAATTAGCTGGGCATGGTGGCACATGCCTGTACTCCCAGCTAATCAGGAGGCTGAGGCAGGAGAATTGCTGGAGCCGAGGAAGCGGAGGATGCAGTGAGCCAAGATCGTGCCACTGAACTCCCTGAGCAACAAAATGAGACCCTGTCCCAAAACAAAACCAAAAAAAAAGTGCATACTTCAACAATTCATAGAACTGGTGTATTTATTATTTCAAGGCAGTGTAAAGATGCAGGAATATATTACCATATTTCCCAAATATGGCATGACTTTTTTTCTCCTCATAATTATCCCTCAGAAAAAAGGAGGCTGCCTTATATTCAAGTCTTTGCAAATCTTTTATGGCAAGTTGCTCTCTGTTTTCTCCAGGAAAGATACATTAGCTTGAAATATCCCAAATCAATTCTAGTTTTCTAGTTTTAGATGTTTTTTAGAGGATAACTTATAGAATCACTAAAAGTGGAGGCAAGGGCATTTCATATAGATTTTGTCTTTGTGCCTGAGGATTTGACCTCACGATTGGAGATGTCACTGTAAACATGACTCTTAAAAATCTCCTTAAAAAGCAGTACAAGTGTTGTTATAAAGTGGAGATTGTCATTATACACCTGTGGGATGAATGAACAACAACAAAAAATGTTCTAATGTTATAAAAGTTTATAGTTGCTGCTTGGGACAAATTTGTTGTTGATAGTGTGCTACACTTTCAAAAACTGCTAATAAGCAAGATTGCTTCATTAAACACAGGGATGGAAAAAAGTAGTATTTATAAATTAATATTTTTCCATATTACTTTAAATATGTATGTATAACCAAGTTGACAAATTAACTAATATAATAATATATTTAGTTTCGTAATGAACATTTCCAGAAGTCTATTTTTTTCCAGAACATTTTCTTTTGCATCATAGTTTCAAGCAAATGAGACATGTCCTTAAAATTGGCACCACCTTATATTTGAGCATACACTTTAAATATTTATTTACTAATATTTGTAACCAATTAATACGAAAAGCAAAAAGAGATTGTTTAATCTCTATGAGTGACTTTGTGTATGCATTTAATTTTTTTAACTAGTAGAACTTCATTTGTTGGAAAGAAAACTGAAACTGCAAATTAAATCTCTTTCTAAATAATAAAGTTCTACTTGAGTATTAGGTATTAACTGTCCATGACAGTAAATTTTATATTAACTGTCAATATGTCAATAATTTTATATTAAATGTCAATATGACTGGGCCACTGTTCCCAGATGTTTGGTTAAACAATCATCTAGATGTTTCTGTGAAGGTATTTTTTTAGATGAGTTTAACATTTAAAATAGTAGACTTTGAGTAAAGCAGATTATTCTCCATAATGTGGACAGGAGACACTCAATCAGTGGAAGGCCTTATGAGAAAGTCTGAAGTCCTCTAAGTACCCTAAGGAAGAAGAAATTCTCCCTGACACTGCCTCTGGACATGAGCTGCAACAGAATCTCTTTGGGTCTCCAGCCTACCAGCCTGCCCTGCATTTTTCAAACTTGCCAGACCCCAAAATTACTTGAGCCAATTTATTAAAATAAATATCGATCAATTGATCTATCTATCTATCTATCTATCTATCTATCTATTTATCTATCTATCTATCTGTCTGTTTCTTCATTTTGTCTCCCTGGAGGCCCCTAACAGTTCCTTTATCCCTGGTTCATTCTTCTGCATAGCACTTGTCCCCTTTTAATGTATGATATAATGTATTTCATTTGCATGTTTCTTTATTGTCTGTCTCCTCCACTACACTGTATTCCCTAAAAAGGCAGACACTATGAACTTCCTGCTCCCTAATTTTAATGCCTGGTACAAAGGGACTCTCAATAAATATTTATCAAATAAATGAATTAGATGCTTCATCACTCCTTCATTATATATTTAATATTTAAAACAAACTAAAGATTTCATTTTAAATCTAGAGGACATCAAAGAAGAAAAATTGTAACAATGAACAAAATATAATGAATACATATTAAAGGTGGACTGAGCACATTTATTAGACTGTATGTGATATTTTAATTGTTTAAATGGAGCTGATTTGAAGTTATCTTACAATTACCTATACAGATTCATTAAAAAATATATTAAGACTAATAGTTAATTTTAAGAATAAGAATAGCTAATATATAAATAGTTATTTATATCCTATATAATATACATGTATCTTAAGCAACAGTCTCATATTTTCATTACAGTTATGGATTCACTTTTTCATCTAATAATGGATGAAAGCTTAGACATTTGTGTGCATTTTTAGTTGTTTGCTTGGATTACGTAAGATGAATTTCCTTTTTTCTCTGGAATGTTTAATCAAAATCTATTATCCAGTAAGAAGTTGAAATTAGTTAATGAAGTCCAATTCAACTTTAAAAACTACAGCTTCTTACTTAATTTCAGTTTATTTTGGAAACATGAAATACTTCAACATTCTGTGAATCATTTTTACAATTCTTAGTTTCGGAGCAAAGTCATGAAAATAAAATCATTAAACTTTTCAAAATCATATTGCATCTTCCAAATATATAAACCTAATTTCCATAAAAATCATATTATATTATCAGGAGAAAGAAAAAAACTCAAACTATACACAACATAGCTACAAGAGTGAGAAAATATGGTACCTAGACAGGAAATGGTTGTTAAGAGAAGGCATAAAACTATTTTCGAAACAGAATTATGAGTGTTTATTTTATTAAAAAGTTGACATAGGTTATCTTTGGTGTTTATGACTTGCAAACTAAAGTATTTAATATTTAACATGTTTAAATACAAGCAGCAGCAGTTTGGTAATCAAAAGGAATAGTTTGAATCATCTCAGAAAAATAAATTTATTGTAATTAGGATATTTTAGAATACGATTAAAACATTTGAAAGAAAATGTATTCACCTTTCTTGTCGTCAAAGTACAGAGTCTGTTGAGCTGGATTTGACCACTGGAGGGAGGTGTTATCATTTTGATCAACCCTGCAGGTCAAAATTGCAGTTCCACCTTCAACAACGGTTACATTCTGTGTTAGTGGAAACTGCCCTTGGCTGCCTAAAAGGGGATTAAAGAAAATGTTGATTAAATGAAAGTCATAAAATGATTAACTGCCTAAGATCTACACTGGCCTTAACTTCTCATGCAAAATAAAATTTAAAACAACCAAACAACGACAAAACTGTATATTACAAAAGACAGAAAAATAATTGAAAATCCTCAGAGAACAACAGCATTGACATATAATTAAGACTCCTTTGTACTCCCTACATGTTCTAGGAAACTTTTTTTGTCCTAGGCATACATAAAGATTTATATTCAAATAGTAATATTATATTTATTACTTTCCCTAGGCTTTGCATTAGTTAATACGGTACTAAACTTGGTCATTGTTGAAGATAAAGCACTGAAATAATTTTGGATGAGTTGAACTCTCTAAAGCAGTAGAGGAAACATAAAATATTTCCCTGGTAGCTTTTATAATCCTGAATAAAGTTTTTGAAATATGGATACTCAAACTTTAGATTCAATTTCTGATAAAGGAAATAAAAAATGAATCCCACTTAACTAGGTTTTCTTGTAGATTTAGCTCTTTTTAGAAATACAAAATGTATTGTGTAAAACAGTGGGAGTACTCTTTAAAAAGTGTAGAATATCCATTCAAACTCTAAATTATTAATCCTAGGTGATATAGGTTAATACTCTTCTTTGTTCCTTTCTGTAGTTTCTCGATTTTCTCCAAGTAATACATATTTCTTTTATAATCAGAAAAATACATATTTTTAAATGACCCTTGTTAATTTGGATATCATCAGTATGTAATCAAGGTTTTGCTCTTCTTAAGCATTTTACTAATTTGTTAAAGTAATTCATGTAATAAATTTACTTAATAAGTGCACTTCTAATAGTTTAATCAAAATTTATGCACACGGATACATAATACATAAATTTCTCTTCAGCAAGATGATCTGAAGATAAACTCTGCTAAGTCTGATAACCATGATTAACATGGGTAAGAATGACTTTCTAGAACCAGGTTAAAATATTATTATGTAAGCAAGGGAGTTCATTAAGTCAAGGATAATTTACATATGCAAGAACACTATAATGACTTAATCACATCCATGAAATATATTTCCTTTTCTTCTTTAGTTTTGTAATGATTCAATAATTACTACAAGCACCACTTGAGGTTATGCTGGAACTATTGGCGTAAGAATCTTATTACCAGGGATTCCCCGGCCAGATGGCCAAATAGGAACAGCTCCAGTCTGCAGCTCCCAGTGAGACCAAGGCAGAAGGTGGGTGATTTCTGCATTTCCAACAGAGGTACCCAGTTCATCTCAATGGGACTGGTTAGACAGTGGGTGCAGCCCATGGAGGGCGAGCAGAAGTAGGGTGGTGTGTCACTTCACCCAGGAAGTGCAAGGGGTCAGGGAACTCCCTCCCCTAAATAAGAGAAGCCATGAGGTCCTGTGCTGTAAGGGATGGTGCTATCTGGCCCAGATACTATGCTTTTCCCATGGTCTTTGCAACCCACAGACCAGGAGATTACCTCGGGTGCCTATACCACAAGGGCCCTAAGTCTCAAGCACAAAACTGGGCAGCCATTTGGGCAGACACTGAGCTAGCTGCAGGAGTTTTGTTTGTTTGTTTGTTTGTTTGTTTTTGGTATCCCAGTAGTGCCTGGAACTCCAGCAAGACAGAACTGTTCACTCCAATGGAAAGACGGCTGAAGCCAGGGAGCCAAGAGGTCTTCTCAGTGGATCCCACCACCATGGAGCCCAGCAAGCTAAAATCCACTGGCTTGAAATTCTTGCTGCCAGCAGAGCAGTCTGAAGTCAACCTGGGATACTCGAGCTTCGTAGAGGGAGGGGTGTCTGCTATTACTGAGGCTTGAGTAGGCAGTTTGCCCCTCACAATGTAAACAAAGCCTCCAGGAAGTTCAGACTAGGTGGAGCCCACTGCAGCGACAAAAATCCTCTGTTTCCACACTGCCTCTCTAGATTCCTCCTCTCTGAGCAGGGCATCCCTAAAAGAAAGGCAGCAGCCGTAGTCAGGGGCTTATAGATGAAACTTCCATCTTCCTGAGACAGAGCCCTTGGGGAAAGGGACGGCTGTGGGTGCAGCTTCAACAGACTTAAATGTTCCTGCCTGCTAGCTCTGAAGATAGCAGCTGATCTTCCAGCACAATGCTCGAACTCTGCTAAGGGACAGATTGCCTCCTCAAGTGGGTCCCTGATACCCATGCCTCCTGAGGTGGAGACACCTCCCAGCAGTGGTTGACAGACACCTCATACAGGAGAGCTCCAGCTGGCATCTGGCAGGTGCCACTCTGGGATGAAGCTTCTACAGGAAGGAGCAGGCAGCAATCTTTGCTGTTCTGCAGCCTCCGCTGGTAATACCCAGGCAAACAGGGTCTGGAGTGAACCACCAGCAAAATCCAGCAGCACATTAAAAACCTTATCCACCACGATCAAGTCATTTCATCCTGGGGATGCAAGTCTGGTTCAACATACTCAAATCAATAAATGTAATCCATCACATAAACAGAACCAATGACAAAAACCACATGATTATCTCAATAGATAAAGAAAAGGCCTTTGACGAAATTCAACACCCCTTCATGCTAAAAACACTCAATAAACTAGGTATTGATGGAACATATTTCAAAATAATAAGAGCTACTTATGGCAAACCCACAGCCAATATCATAATGAATGGGCAAAAGCTGGAAGCATTCCCTTTGAAAACTGGCACAAGACAAGGATGCCCTCTCTCACCACTCCTATTCAACATAGTATTGGAAATTCTAGCCAGAACAATCAGGCGAGAGAAAGAAATAAAGGGTATTCAAATAGGAAGAGAGGAAGTCAAATTATCTCTGTTTGCAGATGACATGATTGTATATTTAGAACACCCCATCGTCTAAGCCCAAAAACTCCTTAAGCTGATAAGCAACTTCAACAAAGTCTCAGGATACAAAATCAATGTGCAAAAATCACAGGCATTCCTACACACAATAACAGACAAACAGAGAGCCAAATAATGAGCAAACTCCCATTCACAATTGCTACAAAGAGAATAAAACACCTAGAAATACAACTTACAAGGGATGTGAAGGACCTCTTCAAAGAGAACTACAAACCACTGCTCAAAAAAATAAGAGGGGACAAAAACAAATGGAAAAACATTCTATGCTCATGGATAGGAAGAATCAATATTGTGAAAATGGCCATAATTTCCAAAGTAATTTATAGATTCAATGCCATCCCCATCAAGCTACCATTGACTTGCTTCACAGAATTAGAAAAAAAACTACTTTAAATTTCATATGGAACCAAAAAAGAGCCCATATGGCCAAGACAATCCTAAGCAAAAAGAACAAAGCTGGAGGCATCACACTAACTGACTTAAAACTATATCACAAGGCTGCAGTAACCAAAACAGCATGGTACTGGCACCAAAACAGAAATATAGAGCAATGGAAAAGAACAGAGTCCTCAGAAATAATGCCACACATCTACAACCATCTGATCTTTGACAAACGTGACAAAAAGAAGCAATGGGGAAAGGATTCCCTATTTAATAAATGGTGTTGGGAAAATTGGCTAGCCATATGCAGAAAACTGAAACTGGACCCCTTCCTTACACCTTATACAAAAATTAACTCAAGATGGATTAAAGATTTAAACATTAAGATCTGAAACCGTAAAAACCCTAGATGAAAACCTAGATGTTATCATTCAGGACATAGGCATGGGCAAAGACTTCATGACTAAAACACCAAAGCAATTGCAACAAAAGCCAAAATTAACAAATGAGATCTACTTAAACTAAAGAACTTCTACACAGCGAAAGAAACTATCATCAGAGTGAATAGGCAACCTAAGGAATGGGAGAAAATTTTTGCAATCTATCCATCTGACAAAGGTCTAATATCCTGAATCTACCAGGAACTTAAACAAATTTACAAAACAAACAAACAAACAAACGACCCCATCAAAAAGTGGGCAAAGGATATGAACAGACACTTCTCAAAAGAAGACATTTATGCATCCAATAAACATATGAAAAAAAAAGTTCATCATCACTGGTCATTAGAGAAATGCAAATCAAAACCACAATGAGATACTATCTCATGCCTGTTAGAATGGCACTCATTAAAAAGTCAGGAAACAACAGATGCTGGAAAGGATGTGGAGATACAGGCACGCTTTTTCACTGTTGGTGGGAGTAGAAATTAGCTCAACCATTGTGGAAGGCAGTGTGGTAATTCCTCAAGGATCTAGAACTAGAAATACCATTTGACCCAGCAATCCCACTACTGGGTATATACCCAAAGGATTATAAATCATTATGCTATAAAGACACATGCACACACATGTTTATTGCAGCTGTATTCACAATAGCAAAGACTTGGAACCAACCCAAATGCCCACCAATGTTAGACTGGATAAAGAAAATGTGGCACATATACACCATGGAATACTATGCAGCCATAAAAAAAGGATGAGTTCATGTCCTTTGCAGGGATATGGATGAATCTGGAAACCGTCATTCTCAGCAAACTAACACAGAAACACAAAACCAAACACCGCATGTTCTCACTCATAAGTGGGAGTTGAACAATGGAACATATATATGGATACAAGGAGAGGAACATCACACACCAGGGCCTGTTGGGGTAGTGGGGTAAGGGGAGGGATAGCATTTGGAGAAATACTTAATGTAGATGATGGGTTGATAGGTGCAGCAAACCACCATGGCACATGTATACCTATGGAACAAACCTGCACGTTCTGCACGTGTATGCCAGAACTTGAAGTTAAAAAAAAAATTATAAAGTTCTAAAACTCAGATGGTTTCTATCCAAAAAATAACAAGTTTCCACCTAACTTTATAGAAGAGAATGTTTATTGCTATGTAACAAAAAGATTTTCCTAAAACTGGGCACTTCTGCTTTGGACAGGTAATTTTCTTTTTTTTTTTCTTTTTCTTTTTTTTTTTTTAAATGGATTCTTGCTCTCTTGCCAGGCTGGAGTGCAGTGGCGTAATCTTGGCTCACTGCAACCTCCGCCTCCTGAGTTCAAGTGATTCTCCTGCTCAGCCTCCCGAGTAGCTGGAACTGCAGGTGCGTGTCACCACACCCAGTTAATTTTTGCATTTTTAGTAGAGACAGGATTTCACCATGTTGGCCAGGATGGTCTTGATCTCTTGACCTCGTGATAAGCCCATCTTGGCCTCTTAAAGTGCTGGGATTACAGGCATGAGCCACCACAACTGGCCAGAGAAGTAATTTTCTTATTGTGCAAATACAGGCTATTTGTGGCTCAATAAATAAAATGCTTGATAAGCGCTGTTCCCCCACTGGAAAAAAAAATCTTATTACCCAGAAGTGTGTTGATTGGCACCATAAGAGACAGAAGATTCTGAAGGGGAAAATTTCTTTCCACACCTAAATGACACAAGCATAGAGGTTCGTGATCACCTTACAAAATTAAGCCTATCAAGTAAAAAATCTGATATCAGAGGCTTTGTCTCCTCAATGCCAACCTCTCAGAGTTGCCATCGCCCTGTAATTTTTAGGGTGGAGTTTTTAAATTGAGGTTAGAAAATGTCTGGAATAAATTCCTGGATAGTTGACTTGAAAGTCAACAGGAGCCACAGTGGGATGTGTTTTGCCTTCAGCTCAGAGGTGACCTCTAGCAAGGCGACATGGAGAACTATCAATCTTGTGAAGTGAGGTGAGGCGAAAAACCACATCAGAGAAAACATGATGTAAGACAGAAAGAAGAAATAATTACCAGAGATTAGGAGCTCAGAAATATGAAGCTCCAAATGGTTTCAAAACACTTTTCTTGGGTCCCTGATATTGATATAATGCATAAATTGAGCAATCAGGGAGTTATTCTTTAAGCAATAAAAAGCACGCAATTGCTAATAAAAATATACATGGTTCAGCCCAGATGACATTTTGATGATCAACCAGTACATAAATAAGACTGTTTGCTTCTTTAAATAAGTGGAAAAAGAGCAGTGATGCTTGCGAAAATCTCATCCACTACATTTACAAAACAATTTTCAAAACATTCCCATAAGAAAATATCATCCTTCTCATTTCACAGATGGGCAAACTGACACTGGGAGGTGAAGTGATTTTTCCATGGTGAAACAAAGTCAATGAACCATTTGGAGTTTGTTCTGAAAGTTCAACATTTTCATTCTTA
This sequence comes from Homo sapiens, assembly GCF_000001405.40. NCBI lineage: Eukaryota > Metazoa > Chordata > Mammalia > Primates > Hominidae > Homo > Homo sapiens. Next base: position 85,795,873 of record NC_000003.12, on the reverse strand, counting down.
TCTATTCACAAAGGCTTTATCCCTGTTTGTTTAAATGTAAATTAGACAACAATGAAAACAAATGAGTCACCATTTGAAACTTTAAATTGGAAATTTAAGATGTCAATACTAACTGTTCTTAAATATCTTATCCTCTTGATAACGTATTTTTGATAACTAACTGTCCCTAAATATCTTATCTTATTGATACCTTACTTTTATAATTTATTTTTTCTTACTGGACCATAGAAGAAAGAAACTAATGTTTGTTAGAGTCCTCTACATGCCAGATATTTAATATACACTAGTTTACCTATACCTCGTTCTTCCAGGTTGGAGATTAGAATAGCTTCCCTCCATCTTCTCCCCACATGTATTCTGACTTTGAAGTATGATTTTAGTTCTCTAGGACCCGCAGCCTAAAATCCCTGCAGTCAAATAACTTAGTTTTTCCCAATACAGAGCAAGCTTCTGTGGAGAATCTCCTAATCCTAAATGCCCTTGGGATATGTGGTTTCCAAAATCAATTCAAAAGCTTTGTTGTAGATAGTCAAAAGTCTCAAAGCTATGAATTGCCTTTTACTTCTGATTTTAACCTGAAGAGAGCATGAGTTAGCTGCTACTTTATCTTTTAACTCTTCATGGTTCAAGGTCTCCATTCAATCTTAGAGTCTTTCCAAAGAAGTTACTAATTTTTCAAATTAGCAAAATTAGTATGCTACCAGGTAACCATAATTAATAATAATATGTTGTGTATTTCAGAATTACCAAAATAATAGATTTTTAATGTTCTTACCACAAAAATAATGGTTAAGTTGGTGAGGTGATGAATATGCTAATTAGCTTGATGGAATATTTTTGTAATGTTTGCATAGATCAAAAAATCACATTGTACCCCAAAAACATGCAAAATTATTATTTGTCAATTAAAATATATTTTTTAAAATTTAAAAATCTTGGCCTTAATTCAATAATTACATAGATGACCTACTATATAGAGAACCTACTATGTGCCTTGCTTTGTATGAATCAACATCTGAAGGATGGGTAAAGAAAGAGAAGCTTACTAAGGAGTCCGCAAAGTAATTAGATACTTTAGGAGAGAGTGTAATGACCAGGAAGAAAACAGCCCAGATGGTACAGTATGGATCTTGTTTACCATCTACAAGGATTTTTAATATACATTGGTCATATCATCGAGAGCTTATTTTAAAATAACACTGGGTCTGGCTAAGCTCACCACCATCCTAGATTTCAGAGGAGTCATTCTTATCAAACAAGCATATGACAGGATTTAAAAGAAACAAAACTTTCAGTTGGGAATCTTAGAAGCTGGCTACTTTTCCAAGCAAGTTACATTTATTATTTTCTTCCTCTCCTTCTAGTGTTTACTTCCTCTTATCATTTGTGTAAATATCTCTCTCCCTTACTTGATTCTAATCCAATTAAGGTTATAGTAACTGAGACATCTTACTTATCTTTTAATCAGCTACACTGTTTACCATATTGGATAGTAAATAGAAGCTCTCAAAAGGTGTTCATCATCTAAAGTAAATGCACCATCTTAAAACAATGGCTGGCATTTGCAGGGGCCCTTTTGACAGTAGAATGACCAAGGTAACTTAAGTCTCATGCATTTGTTCATGGTCAAGATGGAAGGCCAAAAAGAAAGACTAATTCTTCACTGAGAAAATATATGGAAAATTTAAATCATAAAAACCTTAAAGATATATTAGTATCACATCTTAAGACTTTTTAAAATTATAAGTAAAATACATAAGGATTATATGTATGAAGATAAAACAGATGGTGATCCAGAACAGATATATCTGACTATTAAACCCCTAAAATAAGACCTGAAATGACAGGACTATGCCATATTTATGCACCTTAAAGGGAAAAATAGGCATATAATTAACATTTTTTGAATATTAAGTATAAGCCCTACCTAAGCCTTTTTAGGTAGATGCAGTTCTGTGATTTTGAAAGTATTTTACCTTTTCTTCCTTGTCCAATAAATCTTGCATCAACATCCATTTTAATAGAGACTTTTCAGTGGCCAGGAAAATAAGGTAAATTCAATTCTGACTAAACAACTGTGATAAAAGCAAAACATAGTTTATAGTCAAACATGTCAAAGATGCATTTAGACCTTTTACACCTATTTTTAATAAGAGAATGAACATTTGAAATCCAAGTAAAAGCTTAATGTGCTGGAGTTGGCTCACACCAGCTCCAGAGCATCAAGTAGGTGAAACTCGTCTCAATTCATGCTCAGTGACATAGGTTGGCAGCTTGAAACTGACCACAGAGGGTGTATTTTAACTAGGGAAGTTGGCAAACACCACAGCTCAATGATTTTCTCCATAGAGCATGTTGGTAAACATTTACAGCACACCTCTGAAACCCATCCTTGATATCTCTTTTTGGTGCTTCTGTGCGTATTTTTAGCTTTTTCCCCATTCGTACCCACAATTCTTCCAATAAAAATCCTTCAAATAGGCTCCCTTTTTTCCTCTACTCTGTGAACAGTGATCTTGAATTGCTAGTTTTTCTTTGGCTGCCAAGTTTAGTTCTCTCTAACTAACACCAGTGGTTGAAAACCATCTAAGTTAGTTTCAGGAGTTATGCAGAAATAATGTTCTTAATTTATTGCCATGAAATACATTTTAATGAAGAGCAATGATTCAATATCCTGAAAAAATAACTCTCCTGGTCCTATCTTTAAATAGCAGACTGAGCAGTTGCCATTATTCCTTCAATGTTGCCATCTGTCATATACTTAGAGAAAGAATGGTCAAACCTTTTTTGAATACATTAGGAATTATCAAGTTCAGAATCAAGTGAACTGAGTCTTGACTCCTGTTGACCTCAGTTAGTTAAGAGCTGTCCCTCCCTCAAATGTTCCATGGTGCCTTCACTGTCTAACCACCAAGAATCCAGCACACTATCACATAGGACATAAAGAAGAAAATTCTAAAATTATGGCCACTCTTACCTCTGTGATAGGCTATGATGTAACCTTAGAGCATAAAAGCAATAAGCGAAGTAGTAAAGAGAGATCTTTGAAATAAGTATTGTTGAAAGAGACTAGGATGATGCATGTTTTAACACTGATCCCAAAGCATCACTCTGCTTTCGAAAATAACATCATTCAAGCCTTGCTATCTCTTGATTGGATGATGAGTGGTGGCAATGGTTTTCTCCATCTCTCTTCCTGTGCTAAAGATTAAATGTGGCCATAGCAGTGGATCAGTGCACACTGCACATGAGTGCTTGCTCTCTAAGAGCAATAATCACCCGAGATATACCTAGAGAGACAGGCAGAGGTTGAGGCTTTGCATGTTTGAGAGGAAGTGAGTTAGTTGGTAGTTTTGGAGGGTCAATGATCAAATTTTGTGAGCTATTTAAGAGGAACTTAAGTCCTCTCACTATTCTTTAGTTCCTAAAAATAAGCAAAACTTTTTTGAAGGAAGAACCAGATTTAAAACAGTGAAGAGGAACAAACAAAAAACAAGATGTTAAGAATATTTAAGACACAATTTTTCAATAATAAAGTATAAAAGTCTCATAAGATAAACAATATCAAGTATTTTGACCCTTCATTTTGGCATATATTTGTCCTTAGTGAAAACTGTCAACTTAATCTACAAAATTAGTTAATTCAACAGAGACATAGACACCTGAATCAAATAGCATACATCATGTTTTGGTTGTTTTTAAAATATTTTTTTGTTCTCTCAAGAACCTCATTTAACAAAAATACTGTTCTTATATTAAGGTCCTCTTATAACTTGGTTGTGAAAACACAAATGCTAAATGGATCAGGAGATACAAAATAAGTTAACAATTCTTAAACATAACACTCAACTGGCCAGGCGCGGTGGCTTATGCCTGTAATCCCAGCACTTTGGGAGGCCGAGGTGGGCGGATCACAAGGTCAGGAGATCGAGACCATCCTGGCTAACATGGTGAAACCCTGTATCTACTAAAAAGTAGAAAAAATTAGCCAGGTGTGTGGAGGGCGCCTGTAGTCCCAGCTACTCGGGAGGCTGAGGCAGGAGAATGGCGTGAACCCAGGAGGTGGAGCTTGCAGTGAGCCAAGTTCGTGCCACTGTACTCCAGCCTGGGTGACAAAGTGAGAGTCTGTCTCAAAAACAAACAAACAAACAAACAACAACAACAAAAACTCAACAAGGAATGATGAAAGAGGCAACACATGTTTAAATGAAGTACAATGCTAGCCTACTATTCTTTAAGTTTTTCCCCTCAACTATTTTCAGTTTTTTTTTGTTTTCTCTCTCTCTGTCTCTCTTTCTTTTCTCTCTCTCTCTCTCTCTCTCTCTCTCTTTCTCTCTCTCTCTCTCTCTCTCCCTCCCCACCCCTCTCTCCGTCATCTGTTCCATCAACTGGTAAGGGGTATTTATACAAAGAACCTGTGTCTTAGAAAGTTCAAGATCATTCTTGTTGCCTAAATTAGAGTCTAAAAATATATCTAAATGCACACATAGCATGCTATTACTTCCACTAAATTACTGAAGGCATTCTAAACAAATAACCTTCTAATGTGAAAGTTGTGGCTCAGTAGTTGTGTGGACTGAAGCACATATTGCATTCTAAAGCCTACTGGACTGAAAAGCACAAATGTCATTAAGGCCGGCTTATAATTCTCCAGAGAAGTGCAATGAATGCTCTATCATGTGAGATAGGAAATTAGAGGAAAAACTAAGACTGATAACTAAGTGCAAAATGTTTCCACTTTTGGAATGCCCCTCTGTTCTTTCAAATACTTAGAATTCTGTAGTCATTTTTAAAAATCATTTTATTGCAGCTTTTAGGTTTGTCTGAAAGACTTTAAGTTGTCTGCTGTCCTAGGCAACCACATAATATTTTATTTTTCTTTGATTCTACCTCATCCATTTGAATTCAGCCTGCCTTTTAGAGTACAACACCTGGTATCCACCTTCTGTGCCACCATTCTGCCCAGCCACTGTGGAGCATGGCCATCAGTCTGGTGCCGCTTGCCAGTTTCCACAGAGACAGGAAGTACTTTGGAGACCTGTATTCCATTGCAACTGCCAGACCAAGGCAGGGAAGAAACAAAGCTGGCTGGCAGCTGGGTCTTGCAAGGCCAGAAAAGGTTGGAAGGGCTTTCGCCTCCTGATATCAGAGTGTAACAGTGCCAGATTGGCAGCTTCAGCCCTTACAATCCCGTAGACCGAATCCTAGCGTTCACTATGGCCATTGTGAGCAGCCCATTCTGCTACCAACTCTGGGAGCAGAAACTCTTGTGTACCCAAAGCTTGGCCCTAGTTCTTTGTTGGCTTCTGATCCATGACAAAAGGCTCCTTCAGATTTACAGTGGCTCCCACAGCTCCTGACCCAGAGAATTATAATTCTCCTGTAGAAATTTTACCTCTCTTTTTTCCAGAATGTGATAATAGTTTTCTAGGCTGCTCATAGCAGACCAGGGAACTTATGGGATAACCCCTGGATTGTTTCCAGTTTACCTATACAGTACCTGTGAGTAGGTGACCCAGATAACACATAACATTATACCAGAACTAGCTACCATGTGCTGTGTCTATGACAGGACTTATATTTGGAATAAATTCTTGATTATCAGGATCAAAGCCAGCTGTGGAGAAATTTGTAATGTAGGTGAAACATAACATCATTGTCTTCCCCTCCATTTCAAAAATGTTTTGCATGATTGTGATATCTCAGCTTTCTTTAATATTCCCAGCACAGTTATTATTTCTATATAAAATACATTTTTCTAATTTCTCCCATTAGTTTTGTTTTACTCGGCCATATCACTAAAGTTTTTCTTAATTTACAATATCCCAAACTTCAGAGAGCACTTAGAAAATCCTAGGAAACTTTATTTAAAGGATGCTTTATGTTCTTACCCAGTGGCTGCATTGCTTTAGCATGTCTTAAAACATTATCAGATTTTTAAAGTTCTCAACACTTTTTTGACTTGTATGTGTACAAAGTCAATTCTTTCTATTCTTAGCTTTTCTGCTTATTACCCTGCCAAAATGCAAAATGAACACAAACTTGTTTACACACCATGCAATTAGTCAAATAGAATAAATACGAATATATGGCTTCATAACAAAAATAGATTTTTGTAATGAAGACTTTAAAATATATTTTGTTTTTATTAATTTATCCATATTTAATTCACTCCATAAAATGTTCAGTGTTTTCTCAAAAATTCAAACCATAGTTTATTCAATGAACACATGATTTTTCAAGGAAAAAGTGAACTTGATGAGTTGTTCTCATTTATATTCACCAGGCTACTTTTGTTCCTCTACAAATGTATCTTCAAATATTGTAATGTGAAAGAATCCAAAGCAAATGAAAGAATTTCAAAATGAAAAGAAAATTGTATGTCTCTCAAGGCAATATAAAAGAATAAGAGGGTTTTAAAATGATTTCTGTGATTTTAAAACAGGCTTACATGGTAATTATTATGTATACATAAAGTTATTTTATCTTTCTAGAATATTATTTTCAGGTTGAATGAGTAAGATCTAGAACTGACTAGCTTTACTTGCTAACTGATGAACATTTGAGAGGCAGCCTTCCAGAGAAAAGAAATTTATGACCACAATCACAGTCTGGTTCATAGTGAAGCTCAATCATGTTACTAAATTCTAAATTGAGATGTCAAACTGGAGGAAATATCCTGCAAAGGAACACACAGATGGTAGGACTCTTCTGGAGAGAGGGTGAGGAATATAGTGCTGAGCATACAATAATCAATTTTCTGGAGGCAATTGACTGGGTGGGACATAACTGTTTAAAATTGAAGTCCCTGGGAAAAACTTCAATCTGAGGCTCAAAAAAGGGAAATGATGTGTGTATATATTTATTTCATCCAGTAGGTCTTAGAAGGTTGATATAGTAAAGAAAGTCACTAATAATACTGAATTATAATATATTTTAAAAATTACATAAGTTCAATAAAAATTGAAATTCCTAATAACATTTCTAGAAGCAAATGAAATGACAAAAATCTATGAAAGGCAAGTATCATTAAAAACCTTATTTCAAATACAGAATTTTTTCAAATATGTGAATATAGAAAATATGACTAGCCAAATACGATAAAGATTATAAGGAAAGTTATGAATTGAGAAGATACTAGGACTTCAGTCTGGTTTTCATGCTGGTTTTTCCTAATTCCAAATGAAAAAAAAAAATTATTCAAACTCAAATCAATTGTTTCCTGACTTATTGTTGCTAGTTATTTGACTTACTGTATGTATATTTTGACGTTATTTTTATTTTGGATTGCACCTGTTATATGCATACTCTGGAAGCATAAAATTATATTGATTATTATCTAAATTGCTTCTACATTAATATTCTTTTTCTGTATTCTTCTCTGTAAAAAATTAAAATAATTGCATTGGTGCACTAAATAAAGTTATTTATGTAAAATAGCTACATAGATGTTTGGATTCTAACTCGTTAAATTACGGAATGTAATAAGAAATTTCAAAATGGCATAGATATAAAATATGTGTAAGAGAAAGTGATATCCAACATATGCATATGTCACTTAATAGTGTATAATTTCAGTTTATATTATTGATATGAACTATAAATATAACAATGTTTCCTGAAATTGCTTTTACATTTTTAGTGGATTTTACTGATAAAATATACCTCAATGACATTAGTTTATTCAACAAATGTATGTTTTATACCAGAACAGGATTCCCATAGTATGTGTTGGGAAAACAACTGTGAACAGCTAGAAATGATTCTTGCCCACCAGAACTAACAGCCTAAGGAAAGTAAAACAAAAAAGCACACATAAATAAAGACTTAGTTAAATGGCGAGAAACAGTCAGCCATTTAAAAATAGCCTGAGGTCAAGAATGTTAGACACCAGGGCCAGTATTCCAAAAAGTAAATCAGCTAATGCAAAAGTCCTGAGCTAGAGGCAGGAAATAGGTTAGCTGTTGAAAGAACTGAAAAATATCAATAGGACTGGCACACAACAGACAACAATGGTATAGCCCAAGATGAGGCAGAAAAGAAGTTCAAGGCCAGATCATGCAGGACTTGTTAGGTTATAATAAGGAGCTTACACTTATTCTACACACAACGGCAAGACATTGAAAGAAGTGATATGACTCATTTACATTATCAGAAAATGCTGTTTTCTAATTTGCTGACCCTTGAACAAGATGGGTTTGAACTGTGCAGGATCATTTATATAGGCATATGTTTCAAACAAATACAGGCTGAACATATGGTACTTGCAGGATGAGAAACCCACATATATGGAAGGCCAACTTTTAATATAAGCAGGTTTCACGGAGCCAACTGTGGGACTTGAGTATGCCTGGATTTTGGTATAGTCAGGGTTCTGGAACCAATACCCCTTGTCCAACACCAAGGAATGACTTAATCATGATCCCTAAGTCAAGCATTTTTAACCTTGAAGATGAATCATTGTAAAAATTGTGTTTACAATCAAGTACCTCATTGAGAAAATATTAAAGAATCCATTAAATCCTGGGATAATTGATTTACAGAGGTAACAATTTCGTGATTTTAATTTTTACACTGCAAAATACTTCCTATTAAATGGAGACCCATCTTTTACTAGCTTGAGTTTGTATAAAACAGGATTGTTATCTATATGCTCACATCCTCCTCACTCTTTGATGAAAAATGTGTCCTTTACTTCCACTCTAAAATGGCATTGGCTTGGTAAGTTCCTTGTTATTAATGATGCTGGTCATTTATTTTATTGCTGGCTTATAAACTGCAATATTTTTTTGGGAGAAAAGAAAATATTTCTGGTAATCCACCTATGGGTGTAAATATTATATTTAAAACAGTTTTCTTTTTCAAATATATATTTCTTTGAGTGAATAACAATACTATGCTTTCAAATGAACAAGTTCCCAGCAGACTACAAAAATGCAGTAACACAAAATTTAAGTTTTTCCCCTGTGAAATATAAACTTTATAAATACAACTTCTCCTTTGACTAATATCATAGAAATAATTTTCTTTTCCAAAACCAGAGTTTTTATCGCCAAGGTAACCATTGATATATGAATGTGAGACGTATAAAGCTCTTGATAGCAGAGGTATACATATACATAATATTTCATTCTCTGACAGACATAAGATACTGCCTTAGACATGGTGGGCACATATTTTTGAACACATAAACATTGTGTTCAAATGATAGTACCTTAATTATTTAAGTGTTGATCAATATGTAGTAACATAGAAATAAACTTGGAATATTCCCTAACGAACAAACTATCTTTTTTAAAAACAATGTAAAATAACACAGTGGTTAAAAGGATGTATTTTCCACTGTTTGATCATTTTTGAATGCACAAAGATTTCATTAATGTTGATTTCACCCATCTTGTCCATGTTTGCATGCTTTGATGTTCAAGCCCTTTGTAGTGCCACATTAGATCTAGGGGAACATTACCCTATGAGAGTTTAGTGGAAACTGTTGTGGGAACATATTAAAATGAAACTTGGTACTTTGTATAGATTTCTACAGATAAATTTGCTAAAGAAATTATACTTCTGATAAAGCAAACTGAGAATTAATACTTTTTTTGTATCCTTTTTTGGGATTACTACATTTTTAATCTGTTCATTAGAAAATTATAATGAAGTGTTTTTAATTTAAATTATTAAACTTCAATAAAAATTAAGGTGAAAGTGTAAAAATCTTTAATTATTTAAATTTATGAATGCAGATTCTGGAGAATAGTTGCAAAATGATACCTGGAAAAAATACATTCACAGCAAAGCCAATGGTCACTTCACTATCATATTGGGAGGAAAGGGCTAATAACGAATCATTGACCTTTCCTCTAGTATCCGGAACTCCTGAGCAGTTTCCTCTTGGTTGAATCATCTTTGCAATTCAAATCATTCATAGATTTGTACTGGATCCAAAATAAATGAGAACTGAGGAAGTTGCTATGTACTAGGCTAAGTGCCTGCAGGCTATTGTTGAGATTGTTTATTGCATAATAAATTATCAGTATTGATTAGATTTAGTTGTACAAGAAAATGGAAGCTGATGGAAGAATTTCGAATAGCCGGTGTCACTAGCAAGACAAAAATGCTTAAATAGACTCCAAAGATGGAAGCTTCCCTGAGCTGAGGTTGCTCATGCTAACTCAGTCTAATCTTTAGTACAAATGGCTATTATGCACATTCAGAAGCATTTCAAGGAGTCCCAGGGCCTCTGCTAGCTGGTGACATTCTGTTGTATCACCTGTCTTATATGACTTTCAGGTAAACTTGGTATTGGATAAAGCTTGGTGTGTTTCATGGATATTATTGTATCCATGAAACCTAGAATTGTGCTACTATGCTAGCAAAGTGGGCACCGCAACTACAATATTCAGATTAACACAAAATCAAATTTCTGCTTAGTATATCTGCTGAGGTTCAGGCTATTCTAATAATTCCAATAACAGATTAGTCTCAGTATTCATGCTTAAAATTGTACTTATTTGTCTTATTTCCTAAAGAAGTAGAAAAGCAAGTACAAACTGAACCCAAAATTAGTGCATAAAAGAAATAATAAAGATCGGAGCAGAAATAAATGAATCTGACACTAAAAAATATAAAAGATGAACAAAATGTAAAGTTGGATTTTTGAAAAGATAAAATTGACCAACCTTTAGCCAGATTGAGGAAAACAGAAAAAAGACCCAAGTAAATGAAATCAGAGATGAAAAATGATACATTACAACTAATACTACAGAAATTCAAAGAATCATTAGAGTTTATTATGTTAACTATATGCCAATAAATTGGAAAACGCAGAAGAAATGGACAGATTCCTAGACACCTACAACCTACCAAGATTGAATCATGAAGAAATACAAAATCTGAAAAGATTAATAAAAAGTAACAAGATAGAAGCCTCAATAAAAAGTCTCCTGTAGAAGAAAAACCCAGAGCCTGACGGCTTCACTGTCAAATTCTACAAATATTTAAAGAACTAATGCCAATTCTATTTAAACTGTTTCAAAAAAATCAAGGAGGAGGGAATACTTCCAAACTCATCCTATGAGACCAGTATTACCCTGATACCAAAACCAGGCAGAAACACACACACAAAGGCAAAAACTACAGGCTAATATCTCTGATGAACATAGATGCAAAAATCCATATCGGATTAGAACTAAATAAGTTATGACATGAATTCTGTGTACACTTTGTGCAACAATAGATTTTCATTTCAATGTGCTAGTCTCATATGCTTTAACAGATGTGAAACCAAACGTGTTAGATAGATAGATAGATAGATAGATAGATAGATAGATAGATAGATAGATAAATATATTTAGATCTCTTTCTTTCTTCTCAGCTACACTGTCATATTAATAATACCTGATTCTTATTACTCAAATTTAGATATAAACTGAGTGTTGTATTTCTAAAATCAGTCCATTAAAAAATTTCAACTGCATTGTCATTACTAAAATTCCTCTTTCAAAGAAGTTATAATAAAAAATTAGCCTTATTGCTTCATAGCAATCCCTTGTTTATAATTTTAAAAATTGATCCATATTTTCTTCCAGTGACTTAGTTGTTACTAAAAACTTTAATAAATAAATCATCGGAAGCTACAGATTTTTCAAATTAAGGGCATTGAATAGAATTAGCCAAAGATACAGAGGACAACTGCAGGAAATTCCAAGTGTTCTGGTTATTGGGAGCAAGATGGGAATAAAGATACACTTTTGAATACAACTATTACTTTTGAAATGACAAATGTGTGTGCGTGCAGTGTGTGTGAGATAGCGTGCATGCACGCATGTGTGTGTGTGTGAGAGAGAGATCAATAGTTATATTTAGTAACAATTTATTAAGCTCACATTTGAGGCTGTAATTTCAAGTCCCATTGTTAAAGTCATTGACCAGCTAATCTTAAAGTGACCTACAAAGATGATCGTACTTTAAAAAAAAGTGGTGCATATTTTTCTGACAAATGTTTTCTCACCAAAGAGAAACAATAACCAACTTCTCAAGTTTGAGGGTCAAATATCTCTAAGCAAAGTTCTAAATGCTTAGAATCCATCATTAATCAAAACGACCTAATTAATGATAAGATAATCCAGTAAACTCTGCTGTTTGTTACAGTTTGAATTTCATCAGTACCAAACTCATAATTTATAATACCATGATAGCTACTTAAAAATATATAATGCTTATGTAATGAGGAAATTTTGGCATGTAATGCACTTCTTTCGTTTTTTTCTTGAATTAGCTTGTGTAGCTCCAGGACACAGGAAATATGGACTCATATGGCAGGGTTGATAAGCGTCAACTCTCCCTACTGACTTGGGCCAGCAAGCTGCTGATGAATCCAGCAGATGTTTCTACTGTCTGGACCAATGGGAACCTTATGGACCCTTTTTCCTTCATCTCCTCCCAGGAGCAAATGTTACCACAGCAGAAACTTGGACATATGCCAAATAAGAAGCAGAAGTGTTGGTGAGAAGTAAGGCATACACTTATCTGTAAATAGTGCTCATCAGTGGTTTGAGTTGACTGTTAAGCTATTTTAATGGCTTATTTTTGTGCATTTGCTACTTCATTTAACCAAATCTTATAAACTCTGCTGTTCTTACATAAGAGTTTTATCTTAAGTATATAAATCTAATCCTTGGTTATGCTGGTTGTTTCAAGATAAAAACAAAAAAGTGTCTGAATATATGAAGTAAGAAAACTGGTTATTTCTTACTTATCTTCTTATATGAATAGAAAAACTACCTAATCATCAACTGGCATATTACCAGAGTAAATTTACATTTTGTTTATGTACTAATATTGGGCCCTGTTTTGATAAAAATTTCTAAGACAAAAATAACTTAAAACTTAAGTTTTGCACTGTTTACTGAATCTCATTTTTGCTGAGTTGAGTTTTAAATGTACTTTTGGAAGAATGCAATATGATTAAATTAAATGTAGCTGTTCCTTCTCTCTTCTTTAATCTCCCTACCCTCGATTACGTTGACACAGGGGAGTGGCTATCACTTTTCTAAGACTTGGTTTTATTACCTGTATCCAAATTCAGTATTCTAAAGTTCTGTATTGTTTCTAAGCAAGTTTTCTCCTCTAAGCAATACATTAATTTAAGGAGAGAAAGAAAGATTCGAAAGAAATGGAGTATATTTCTTTTTTCTTTTTTTTTTCTTTTTTTTTTTTGAGACTGAGTCTCATTCTGTCGCCCAGGCTGGAGTACAGTGGCACGATCTTGGCTCACTGAAACCTCCACCTCCTGGGTTCAAGCGATTCTCCTGCCTCAGCCTCCAAAGTAGCTGGGACTACAGGCTAATTTTTGTATTTTTAGTAGAGATGGGGTTTCACTGTGTTAGCCAGGATGGTCTCGATCTCCTGACCTCGTGATCCGCCCGCCTCAGCCTCCCAAAGTGCTGAGATTATAGGCATGAGCCATCTCACTCGGCAAGAAATGGAGTGTATTTCTTAGCCTCTGAAACTATATATTTCCTTCATTCATTATAGCAGAGTAGATATATTTCCTGTTTACAAAAGAGTTAAAAAGTTACAGAAAAAATGAACAGAGATCATATAATGTTTGTTAATTTCCATTTATTCTAACATTATTTATTGAACACCTCCTATGAGTAAACCACATTAAATTCAAATGAAAAGAAATAGCAAAGTGCATAAGCACAAATAACATAGTATAATAATTGATAGAAGTTGTTTTAATAAAGTCAGCATTAAGAATGTTCTATTATATACTCAATCAACTCCAAAAGCTACACTAAGTGGCTGCTGGGCAAAAGCCATGTTTTCATTTGTTTCCATGATTACTTTGGAAAGGGCATGTCGTTTTGAGCAAAGTAGCAAAGCATAAGTGGCTAAAAAATGTTGGCAGTATTTCAAAATGCTTCCTGTGCATAACATTTACAGTAGGTGTGTTTAGAAAAGACACTCACTCACATAAATTTCCAATGCCAAACATTTTACAGTTTTTCTTTCTTGTATTCTAATTGTTAATTTTAAATTTCTTCAAGGATTCTGTGGGTATTACTTAGCTTTGTGAAAGAAAATAGAAAGTCTGGTCTCCAAAACACTGGCAAAACATGGCCCTGAGACAGAGGCATTATAAAGATTTAATTTCCTACAGAAGTATTATTTGCAAGCTGTGCAAACAGTCTTTGGTTAAACAAAGAATCAAGATGATGGAGGTTTTACATCTCAGTTAAACAACCACAGATATAATTCCTGATTTAATTTTTATAATTAAAAATCCCTCAAAAATAGACTATTTTCTCATTTTCTACATTCTCTCTTAGAAGAAGGACTATGAAAGGCTTTCAGAAGACTTTAGGTAACAAATAAAATAAAGTATTTGAAATAGACTCTCCATTGTGTTCATGGCCTGGTGCATAACTTGCACCATGTAGACAATCAGAAATAGGGTGTTATGAAAGAGAAAGTAGAATATAGAACCTAAAGGAAGGAAAGAGAGTACCTAAATTCATATCAGATAATGACAAATATATGCTAAGTTCATAAAATAGTTCAGTACTAAAACAATTTCAAGTTTAAAAATAGCAGTAAGACTTAAAGGCCAATTACATGAAGGACAGAATGGAAAGGAAACCATTGAGCATGACCTTGGTTTTCCAGCTACGTGATAGAATAGATGGGGATGCCATCTTAATTAGTTGCAAGTACCGACACAAAAGGAAAAGTTCATAGGTAGCAATTTAAACTGGGCTTCATTGGCCAGTTCTTGTGATCTTGGCTGTGCTTCTTAATGCATCTACAGTTAGTTGCCAGCCATCTGCTTTTGGGGACTTGGCTTCTGGGGATAGGCTGGCCGTCAGCTGGGGTGACAGGTGGTGACTAGGCTTGATTTCATGGCTCCTGGGTCCCAAGAGCATGGTCCAAGGAACAAGCACTTTCCAATTCCCTCTTGCTTTATGTTTGTTATTGTCTCATTGGCCGAAACAAGTCACAAGGTTAAGCCCAAAGTCTGTATGGAAAGAGACTACCTGAGGGAACAGATACAGGGATACATGATCAAAATAGCAGCTATTGGAGAAGGACACTGAAGTAGTTGATTATTAGAGGGAATCACATATCTAAAGGCAAGAAAAAAATTAAGATTATTTTCACAGCTCAAATGTTGCAGGAAAATAAGGTTTATAAAAGATCAGAAGCATATCCAGGAGGACTGATCAACATATGCCTGAGGGACTTTGCTAACTGAAAAAATGAAAAGAGAAAGCAGAAGGCAATGTTTTGGGAAGTGATCAAATGAAGATACTAAGCGTAACCAACAGTTTTCAAGAAATTTGTCCATAAGAGGATTTAAGAAAAGGTATTTAAGAGGGTTTAAATCTTTTTCTTGTTTTATTGTTTATGACATATAAGTTAGTATCAATGGTGTTGTATAAAGTTCATTGTGACCCAGTAGACTTTTCTCTGTTCTATAGACAATTATTTCATGAATGTTTGCTTTGATTCAACAGAAAGATTGAGGACAAGAGTGGGAAGAACTAGCTCCAGTGTTTTCTCACTTCAGGAAAAGCATCTCTGAATAAGTACACTATTTTAAGGTCAGTAGTATCATTGCCTGTCCAGTACGCACAGCCCTTTTTGAATGTACATGTCGGCCTACTAGTCACACCCTTATTTTTCTGATGGCAGCATTAACAAAGCAAATGAAAATAAAAATAAAAACTATTATGAGAGTTAAACAAGTGTACACTTTAACTCGCATTTCAGATTTCACTTAAATAATTGTGGTCTTTATTCTGAAATTATTATTCATTACTTAAGTGTTATGGAAGCTTAAGAAATATTTATTTTTTCTTTATCATATTGATCAACTCCAATTGGACCACTAGATGTTACTTAGTCCTTCGTATCTATATCTTCACCAGTTCAATCATTGTGAGCCTGCCTGTTGTACTACCTACCTAGCTCCTTTCGTATTTAAAATAACTAAGTAGATAAAGGCACCTAATAAAAACATAAACAAATAAAAACTCAGTTTTTCATTGAATAATAATCTTAGCAAATATGCAGTTCCCATCCTGATTTGTGATACACATATGATGGGAATATAGTATCTGTAAATGTTTAAAATATAGGTGATATGGCTTGGTTGTGTCCCCACCCAAATCTCATCTTGAATTGTAGTTCCCATAATCCCCACGTATTGTGGGATGAACCTGGTGGGAGGTAGTTTAATCATGGGGTTGGTTACCCCCATGCTGCCCACATGATAGTGAGTTCTCACAAGATCTGATGGTTTTGTAAGGGGCATTCCTCTCTTCACTCTGCACTTCTCCTTGTTGTTGCTATGTGAAGAAGGATGTGTTTTCTTCCCATTCTGGCATGATAGTAAGTTTCCTGAGGCCTCCCGACCATGCTGAACTGTGAGTCAATTAAACCTCTTTCCTTTATAAATGACATAGTCTCATGCATGTGTTTATTAGCAGCATGAGAACAGAATAATAAAATAAGAAATAATAAAAGATGCTCAGCGCAAAACTGCAGAGGCTTTAGGCATGGTAAGATTGTTTTAAAGAGTAGCTTTACAAATATAAAGTTGTGTAAAAATAAACTTTATTTTATTGACTACTGACTGCAACAGTCATTGCATTGATTAAAAAAAAAAATCATTAACTCAGGAGAATGCAAGTTCTCCTTTGACCAAAAATATGCCCCATAGAGACTCATGGCCCTAAAATACTTAGAATTATCCTTAAGTATTATACTGTAAAGTACTCTCTTGTATTTGGACAATGGCTTAAAGCAAAATTTCACCCCTAGATTTAACATCAATTAAATCTAATCAAGTCCTAAGTCTCCTTGTCTTAAAAGAAAGCATATGCTGTCACTTACATTTGGCAGGATGGATTTCTTTGTTTATTGCTGAAGTCCAATAGATCTTTGTGTGTTGCACAATGAAGATAAAGTGTATGAAGAGTGTGTCTTTAAAATTTATGCAAAGATTTTTTGGTCAGAGGAGATAATAGAGAAGTAAAAGGAAACTAAAGCAGTGTTAGGAGAAAGGGAGAGTGAGGCTAAGTGAGAGGGTGACAAGTTAGCAAAGTAACAGGAGGAGGTGTGTGACCTCATATACATAAAAGATAAGTTGATTATTGTGTTATTCCATTCTCACATTTCTATGAAGAAATACCCAAGACTGGGAGATTTATAAAGGAAAGAGGTTTAATTGACTCACAGTTCTGCATGGTTGAGAGGCCTCAGGAAACTTACAATCATGGTGGAAGGCAAAGGAGAAACCTTCTTCACAGAGTGGCAGGATGGAGTGAGTGCAAGCAGGGGAAATGCCAAATGTTTATAAATCCATCAGATCTCGTGCATTATCACGAGAACATCACGGGAGAAACTGCTCCCATGATGATTCAATTACCTCCATGTGGTCCTTCCCCTGACATGCGGGGATTATGGGGATTACAATTCAAGGTGAAATTTGGGTGGGGACACGGAGCCAAACCATGTAAGTTATATTCAGAATAATTTTTTAAAATGAGCATTTTTATTTAAAATTGTGTATATGTGTGTGTATATCCACATATACACATATGGATTCTTCTTTATCTTCCTGAGAAACAGGAAACACAATGGCATCATTTGTAAATAATGCTTTTCAACAGGCGAATTTTTTGAACACCAAAATAATATAAACAGACTAATAATGTTGCTTTTATCTTTATTCCCCCTAAACATTTCCAAATGTTTTCCTCATGCTACCATTATTTAGGGCAGGAGCCAAATTAGGCTCAGCCCATATGAATATCCTAGGTCGCCTCTCTTTGCCCTCACACAGAAGTCATAATGGATGATTGTACTGTTCACTGGTCGAGGTGTTGAAGACAATATAACACCTACGTATGCATATTTTGTATACCTATGCATATTAAAATGAGATAAGGGTAATATCTGTGAGTTCATCCACTTTGACATTAGAGTTTGCTTCACGAAAATTGTTCATTATTTCTGATGGTACAGACCGGCTTTTATCACTGCTCTATACTGGAACACATAAAAAGCTTTTCTTTAAATTGGTTTGCCTACATGTTAGACAATTTGAGAGAAAGTACTTATTGAAGACTGAGTTTACATGCTTCTATTAAATAATGCCAGTGTGGAAGATCTCTTCATAAACCGAATTTTACTTTAAATCAGGTGTATTGAAATGAGAAAGAGTAAGAGGTAAAAAGAATAGTAGAGGAATATAGGAAAACATGAGAGCAGAAGAACCAACCATGAAAACCTGAGTTTAAAATATAGCAGGCCAGGTGCAGTGGCTCATGCTTTAATCCCAGCACTTTGGGAGCCCAAGGCGGGCTGATCACCTGAAGTTAGGAGTTGGAGACCAGCCTGGCAAATGAGTAGAAACCCCATCTCTACTAAAACAAAAAAATTAGCCAGGCATGGTGGCATGTGCCTGTAGTTCCAGCTACTCCAGAGGCTGAGGCAAGAGAATTGCTTGAACCCGGGAGGCGGAGGCTGCAGTGAGCTGAGATCACGCCACGACACTCCAGCCTGGGCAACAGAGTGAGATTCCACCTCAAAATAATAATAATAATAATAATAATAATTTTTTAAAAACCATAGCAAATGTTTTCTGTACAAGTAGATATATTAGAATACCATGAGAATGTCATAAAAAATTTATTTATGAAAATGATAATGCTGAAATACAAAATGAAAAATTTGCATAAGTAGATGAAAGTAAGAGAAAGAAATACTATGCATATTTATGTACATTCTGGAAATATAACAAGCAATGAATTTGAAACGGTTTAAAAGGAAACATGAATAAATAATGTATAACCTGATTTATACTAGGGGAACAAATACACAGGAATGCATTAAATTGTGATTCAAAGACCATATCAAATTAAGTCATATTATTTAGCAGAACTTTCAGGCGTGTCAGACATCTATTCTGTTTTGCAAATACCATATACCTAGAGGTAACTGGGATTCATTTTTCTCTTTTGACTTGGTAATATTTACAAAAAATATATATAATCACCAGGATTGGGAAGTAAAAACAATTAGCACTGAGTATTTACTTATGTAAGGCATTAGAAATCTAATATTTTATCAAAAATGCCTTAACACTTATATTGAAATATTACATTTCTGTGGTGCACAAAAATATATTCTCTCACAATTAAAGAGCAGAAATAATTTCAAGGTGTATGTTATTGTCAACAACATAAATAAAGATAAGTAATACATCTAAAAGTAAACAGCTAGAGAATGGCAAGATGGGAATTTCAAACTAGATCTTACATTAAATGATGTTCTATTCAACTGTTCATTCAAATAATAAGTTATTAAGTTCCTATGCCAGACATGACAGGTATGGGTTTTTAAATAATATTAAAAATGAAAATGGTGATTTGACTTCAGTAGTATTCACAAATTGGAGACATAAAAATAACATTATCTTTCTCTCTCTTTCACTCTGTGTGTGTGTGTGTGTGTGTGTGTGTGTAAGAGAGTTTGTGTGTCATATTTTCCTTAAGATTTACAATGTTTTAATTTTCAATTCTTAAACTATTTGGCTACTAAGTCTGTTTTATCATTTAAAAAAACTTAAAGATGTATTTTTCTCAATGAAGACTATAATAAGCCTAGAATGAGTGATTTGTTTTCCCTGTTTTCAACATTTTATTAATTAAAACTTCATTTTACTAGTATAACAATAATGAAAGTATAATTATGGTTTTACTATGAAAATTTCTTATATATTCTCATTATAACCCCCAAGAGAAATTCACAGATATTTTTAATTGCTGAAATAAAAGCAACTGGCTTGTATATTGATATGTGCATTAAAGTAATTTTCTAGATCAATGAATTCGTGTTAGAAATAGTTGCCTGTACTAAAATTATGTTTCTTCTTTTGCTCTAAAAATCCTTTAATAAAAATCTTCTACTTTTCAAATTACTGAATTATTTTAAAGGTAATTTAGTACCTAATAACATGTGGACATGAGTGGATTTATCTGAATAGAATCTCTGGGTTGGAGCATAGTTTTCTCATAAATGAGAGTATAATTCCTTTTTCATATCAGTAAGTTTATTGTATCAGATTGTATATAACTGAAATAATGGAAGATCAACCTCTAGTAATCTTGTAAAACAGAAATGCACTTAGTATAGCACCAAATCTATTTTATAGAGCTGAATTTGGAGGAAGCAAAATTCCTAAGAAAAACAAGAAAATTCAGCATAGGCAAATTTTTAAAAAGCAGTTTATAAAATTCTGAGTACAAACGATTATCTTAATAAATCATTCCGAGTGGATTTTGATTTTCAAGTTTATAAAGCTACAATATAGTCATCACAATCTGTTGAATGCTATGCAAATTTGTTGAACTATGTCTTTAAGACCTGAACCAATCACCAATATAGTGATTATAGTATTAATTCCTGCATTAATACAACTGATGATATCAGTAGTAATATTATTATACTATAATAGGGCACAAAGCTTTGAAAGTAGGATAAATTAAATTGTTTTGCAGAAATGTAAATGGACTCCCATTTAAAGATTTGAAAGAATTGTAAATGTCATGAGACAAACCTATTGAGTATGCTTTAGAAATTTGGGTTTTAACTTGCATTAGATACTAAAAATCCTTACTGCTCTACACAGATGCTCAGTATGGTCACCTTAAGTATGTTAAATATTCCATTTATTTCTAATGTTGAATTTTGTTCACTCCTTATTTTTGATGTAGGTTTATGAAAATCACATGATAAAAGTGCTATAGTAAAGGGCTTATCTTCATGATTATATAAGGGTGTGTGTGTGTGCATATGTAAGTACACATATATATCTATCTGAAATTATGTGTGTGCATGTATGTGTATTTTCTAGATTTAACTGACTAGCAATGATTTAACTATATACATGTGTATCATGAAAATTTAATTACACTGAACCTAGTGGTTCTATCGGTGTTGAAATATAATTCAACTCTACCACTCTGCTACTTTCCGAGTGTTTTCATAGGCTTCCCAATCCTAACAATAACTACCAAAATTATTCAAAATAATTGTGGCCCATAATGTTATGTCTAACTTAATTTAGGTGACCTATTATGAGAGCAGACTTCATAATCTTTCAGTAAAATAAAGATTAAAATTGAAGTTTTAAAGAAAACCACAATTTTTCTAATTCCAGAGCTATTCTTAGGATTAAAAAAAAAACTAGGGAAGATAAACAGTAGCAATATTTCTGGTTGCAAGAGACTAATAAAAATGTTTCATGAGGATAATATTTTTGCAAAAAAGGTAATAAAATTTAGCATTAAATAAGATGCATCATAATTTTTACAGATGAAAACCACTTCTGGACTATCTACATATTAAAACATTTCCTTGTGCATTCTGCTTGGCATATGGTGACTACAGAATCTTCCTCTTTAAACTGCTGAAAATTATTGCCTTTCTGTGATTAATTGCCTTTTTCTTATGTTAAGAAATTCTACCATAAATAATACTGCATAAAATATCTGTAGGCTATCAACATTAAATTTAAGAACACCGATATGCATGTGGAAATCATCCGAATATTATTTTCTCCTGTCCATCTAAACCAGGAGACTGTACAACTGTTTGTTGAGAGACATTTACCGTATTTGTTCTTAGATTCCTTTTAGTTATTTTCAGTTAGAAACACAATATTCCTGTTCTTTAGTTAAAAAAAAATGAAGAGGAAATAGAGGTATGAGGCTTTAAAAATGTAGATAAAGGATCTAATGAAAAGTACAAAAGCTACGTGCCAAGGTTAATGAAAACAATTTTTCAAATACAACTTTCAAAGCAAAAAGTATCAGCCTCCAAAAACAAGATTATGCTTTCCTGGATAGGTAAAATATGTCCCTTTGAAAAGGAAATAGTCTATCGATATTAAAATTTTGTCTATTAAGATAAAATTACATCAATTTCTAGTATTTCTGTATTCATTCACCACACACTTGTACATATTTATTTAGTAATACTTTCCATGAAAACTGCATCATTTTTAATACTGAGGATCAGGAATGATCAAGATTGGCACGAACCCCAGCACTCACGGAACTTAAAGTATGAGAAATCAAGGACATTAAACCAATAAGCATCAATCTCTAGTCTTTCTCTGAAAGATATCCTATGTTGTTGATTATTTCAGATGTAAATGTGCCTGAAAGCAATACCATTGTATGGAAAAGTGATAATCCAACTAATGAACTCCTAAACAAGTAATCATACAAATGCTTATTTGACAAAGTTTAAAAATTGGTATATTGATTATACAAATAAGTGAAAGACTTTTTATGTTGGCCATTTCTGTCATCTGAAAATACAGATTTGGGGATATAGATGTTTTTGTGACAGGGTTAAATGGACTAAGAGTAGCATTTAATGTTAAGTTCCTTGTGCAGAGACTGCTAGCTATGAAAACACTTTTCCTCCAGTACCTATCTTTACAGCTGGTCTGCATTGCCCATCTTACTCTTCCATTAAGTGTGACTGTGTGGCTAAATGACAAAGGAACGTAAGGAAAAGGGGCTGTTTATTTCCTGGGGTTGAGCCATTAAAAAGTTTCACACCACTCTGCTATGTTTTCTTCTTCTTCTGGCTGACTATGACATTTTGACAGGTCTTTTTTATTTTGTTTTGTGTTTTAAGAAGATGACAAGGCTCTTGTTTGTCAGCCTGTTTTCCTGAATTTCTTTGGGGAAGAGGCCCACTCTTGGGATCAATATGCGAACAAGAAAAAATATGTGTATCTCAGCTGCTTAATCAATTATGCAACTGGGATCTATCTGTTATAGGAGCTAGCTTTACCTAACTAATATATTTATCACAGGGAATCATACAGCAAAATGATCACATTTTTAGCTAGAATCAAAAAAAAGAATGAAAATGGATGAGGAAAAGAAAAAAAAAAAAACTGGAAATGAAAGCAGACAAAAAGGAGATCTGAGTTACTGTACACCTAAGGCTGCTCTCAGCAGCTGTGAGGGAAAAAAAAAAAAGAAAACATAGCTTCTGTTCTAGACTGTGATGGGAGTTAAATAGAGATAGATGCTTCTTGACTGTCAGTGGCATTTTGTATTTTAAGGTTTGCAAAATATCCTCCTCCTCTAAACTGAACTTCTTGGTTAATCTCTGAATGCCAGTTTCCTGGCTGCTGAAAAAGAGGGAGGTTAACATTCCCTGCTTATTACTAATTATTAATTAACACTTTGAAATTCTATAATCAACTCTATACTTTTTATTGATCACCAGTGCCAAAAGAAGTGAAATTGAGTTAGAAATATATACATTTTTGTTTGTTTCTGAGAATTTGTCTGTATCTTAATTCAAGGCTTATATTCAAGAACTTAGATATTCCATAAATTCTACTTAGATGGACACATACACACAGATAAAATGACAATGCACACGTTTTCTGCATACATACACATAAGAACAGATCTAAGTAAGTCAAAGAAAATTCCAATATTCGAATGCAGAAATTCCAAAGCTAAACGTAACTAGGAAGAGTTAGTTTTAGTAAAAAGAAAAAAGTCAGTTAATGACCAGTTAATATTATGAAAATTATCTTTTTCCAGTTGGATGCATGTGAGTGTCTTATCCTGCACAGTTTTAAAGCTGGTCCAACTTGTTTTATGTTTCATAAATGCTATGGTTAGGACTGATCTTGCTAACCTCAACTTTATTTTCTCCCCACGATATTTTCATTTGCTTCCAATAGTGTCAGAGGTGCACAGATTCTTTTATCAATACATTTTATACACGTACCAAAAAAAAAAAAAAAAAAAAGAAAGAAAGAAAAAATACAATACTACAGCAGCTTGTGAAAGTTCAGTGCATTTACTATCCCTTTTGCTGAAAAACTTCACCTTTCTTGATTTGTGACATTCTGGCTCAACTTGGAAAGAAATGGAACTAGTTCTTTCTGATCATTCAGAAAACACTTTTGGGAAAGAGCAAAATCCCTTCTTCAGCTCATTATAGATCGGCCATCTAGAGAGATGGAACTTGAAGAAAAACATATTTCATTTTGGAAAGAAAAATCCTTTTCAGAAATAATTCTATCAATGTGTCATAAATGTCTGACCTGTTCTCCATTTCTTTTTGATTATTTACCTGCAAAGAGAGACCCTTTTTAGACCCTTTTAGAAATTCCTTTGTTCATTCCTACCTAGCGGCTTCTATGGATACATTTTTCTAGTATTTCCGTCAAATGTTTAGTATCTGTTTAAAAGCATGTAATATGTAAGTCTAGATTCAAAAGCTAAAACTAATTTCAAAATATTAAGTATAGTACGAATAATATCAGGGAGATATATATTTTGCTCAAATAACTTATGATACTTTATAAGCAAGCTTTGTTTTCCCCATGCAAATAGTAGAAAAATACTGAATTCTAGACTCTTGAGAAACTTTTCAGTTTATTCAACTTAAAATAGTAAATAAGCATTACATTAATGCAACCATAGGAACATTAATTTGTATTTAATTTCCCTAAAGAAAGATATGGATTGATTTGTGAATTGACCAATGGGTTTAAGAAGTTCAGGAAATCCTGTTATTCTAATATGATAATTATTTAATGTTACTGACCCAATGAACTGTAACCTATGCTTCACTAAACACAACACTTATGGTCTAATTTAGATTGATAAAGTGCTTACTTTCAGGGCTCACATAAATTTGTTGGAAGAGTTATTGTTTTCTAATTCTTAAAAATAAGAGGACTGTCTTAATCCATATGAGAAAGGAGTTGCCAGAGCCAACGAGGGGCACAGTTTAAATTACACCTATCATGAGACACAGGATAAGTGACATGTATCATGACATGTATCACAGACGACGAAGTCCAGACACTAATTTATTACATTGCTAACTTAAAAAGTTAAGACTATTGTATATCTGCCCTTTGAAAATTATCAAAGTATATGGAAAATCATGTCTGGATTTAGAGAAGTAGAAAGTAATTTAAGACCAGAAAACTCCTTTTGTGGCCTTAAATAGGTGCATGAACGAGAAAGGAAGTTAGTTAACAAATTTGAAGGGATAGCCCAGACAATTACAGTGCCATGGCTTGATGTTTCCTATTATCTGCTATACACTTGCTGCTTTCATCTAGACAAAATTCTCACATATTTCTAGAATCAAAATCAAAAAGCAATCTTCATATTTAATCTCCCTATCATATAACATCATTGCATTTGGATATTTGGCACTTTGGAAGGCAGAGATGGGAGGATCACTTGAGCCCAGGAGTTTCAGACTAGCCTGAGCAACGTAGTGAGACACTTTATCTACAAATAATAATAATAATAAAACAGCTAGTGGTGGTAGTGCATGCCTTTAGTCTCAGCTACTTGGGAGGCTGAGGTGGAAGGATCAGGATTGCTTGAGCCCATAATGTCAAGGCTGCAGTGAGCCATGAGGGTGCCGCTGCACTCCAGCCCAGGTGACAGAGCGAGGCCCTATCTCAAACAACAACAAAAAATTGATATGTCATTACCTGTGCTTCATTTTTAGTGGTTTTTACAGCCATGTGAGGATTCTTGAAATTTTAGACTCCCTCTCAAATAAGCACATAGAATTGGGGTTTTGGTCTAGAAATGACATCGATGACTATAATATTTTACTTTATTATCTTTCAGATAAGAACACTGAAGCCTAGAAAGTTGAAGCAACTGCCACCATAGCACAGTTAGTTACCCGTAGAGTTGTCTGAGGAATCAGGTTTTCTGTTTCCCAATCCAGTGCTATTTCTATATCTTATTGAAAGAGGCTGAAGAAATGCTGTTTTTTTTGTTTGTTTTTTGAATCATATATAAATTTGCAACATGCAAGTACATTGCATTTGAACACATATTTTTATTTGAGCCATCACTGTTTTATGTTCTAGCATCAAAACACTAAATGAACTTAGTTGCTGCTTTGTTTTCCCTTTTTTTCTCATTGATATCTTGACACTGAAATGTAGATGTCACAAAATACTATATTTTCTACTTATAGGTCAAAATCACGCAAAACCAAGCATTGTCATCTGTTAAAATGAAGTAGAGGAAGTTTTTAATATGTGAAGTATCAAATTGGTATGCAAAATATATAGAACAAATCATATATATGTATATATGTGTATATATATACTATATATGTATATATGTATATATGTGTATATATATACTATATATGTATATATGTATATATGTGTATATACTATATATGTATATATGTATATACGTGTATATATACATATATGTATATACGTGTATATATACATATATGTATATACGTGTATATATACATATATGTATATATGTATATACGTGTATATATACTATATATGTATATATGTATATACGTGTATATATACTATATATGTATATATGTATATACGTGTATATATATACTATATATGTATATATGTATATACGTGTATATATATACTATATATGTATATATGTATATACGTGTATATATACTATATATGTATATATGTATATACGTGTATATATACTATATATGTATATATGTATATATGTGTATATATACTATATATGTATATATGTGTATATGTGTGTATATATACTATATATGTATATATGTGTATATATACTATATATGTATATATGTGTATATATACTATATATGTATATATGTGTATATATACTATATATGTATATATGTGTATATATACATATATGTATATATGTGTATATATACTATATATGTATATATGTGTATATATACTATATATGTATATATGTGTATATATACTATATATGTATATATGTGTATATATACTATATATGTATATATGTGTATATATACTATATATGTATATATGTGTATATATACTATATATGTATATATGTGTATATATACTATATATGTATATATGTGTATATATACTATATATGTATATATGTGTATATATACTATATATGTATATATGTGTATATATACTATATATGTATATATGTGTATATATACTATATATGTATATATGTGTATATATACTATATATGTATATATGTGTATATATACTATATATGTATATATGTGTATATATGTGTATATATACTATATGTGTGTATATGTGTATATTTATACTATATATGTGTATATATATATTCAGATTCCATCAGTAGCATGTAGATATCTAAAAATAATTTTCAAACTGGGAAGTAAATTATGATTTTTTACTATGAATGTTAGAGTTTTAACAGTGATTGCTATTGTGTAGACTTATCAATTTAGCCAAGAAGTTTTGTTCATATTATTTTTCCCAGTTAGATAAAAAAAAAAGTATTTTAAATTTATTTATTTATTTATTATTTATTTATTTATTTATTTATTTTGAGATGGAGTCTCGCACTGTAGCCCAGTTTGGAGTGCAATGGTGCGATCTGGGATCACTGCAACCTCTGCTTCCTGGGTTCACGTGATTCTCCTGCCTCAGCCTCCCAAGTAGCTGGGACTGCAGGTGCCCACCACCAGACCCGGCTAATTTTTCTATTTTAGTAGAGATGGGGTTTCACTGTGTTGCCCAGGCTGGTAATGAACTCCTGAGCTCAGGCAAAACGCCTGCCTCTGCCTCTCAAAGTGCTGGGATTACAGGCGTGAGCCACTGCGCCCGGCCAGTAAAATATATTTTAAATAAATATCCATGTAACCTGAAAACCATTTGTTAATGAACTTATGGTAAAGGAATTAATATGAGACCATCAAATAATTACCATTGAAGCTAATCTATGTAAGAAAGAAGAACTTAAAAAGATACATTATCGTCTGAACAATAATCAGTTATAATCAACAAAACAGATATGATAATTTACTATCTTTGTTGTATAGATTTTAATAAATCTGTTGTACAACAGATGCAAAAGGTTAGATACATACGTAAGTTTAAGATGCTAAATTACAGTCGGTTTCAATCACTTATTAAACAGGTAGCTCTACCAGCATCTTTTATAATTTTATTTCTGATGAGCACTTCTGGAATAGAGATGGAGGTATGTGCATCATATTGTCCTTCTGTAACCCACTTTTTAATGTGGCCAGACCCTTTGTTTTTTTGGTGCATATGGAATTTTGGATCTGAAAATTTAAATTGTTTCTGTAATGCCACATTTAGCATTTTGGGATGTGGAAGTGCCAGAAGGTCGTGGTTGGAGGTGGCAGCACTCTCATGACTGACATCTACTGCACAGCAGACTGGATATTGGGTG